>NC_000014.9:74611713-74763228 GCF_000001405.40 Homo sapiens
CGCGTCCTGCTCCCGGAACAGACTGTACACCTTGGCTGCAGCCGCTGCCGGGTAGCTGCCCCCAGGGCGCCGCAGTCGATTCGCGTCTCCACCAGCCGGCTCGTATCTCCCTACGGGGTCCCTTTGGGCATGACCCGCGCCCACGAAGAGAGCCAGGGTGAGCGGCAGGAAGCCTCTCCAGGGGTTCCGCAGGGCGCGCCCCGGGCTGCGGGCTTTGGTCCGCGGCCTCATGGCGCGGGGCGGCTGGAGAGTGGTGCGCGCGGGCACCGCGAAGAGCTTTGTGGTCGGCACGCTGGACGCCCGCGGGCTGTTCTCCCGGCCCCGCCCGGCGGCCAGCTTCTCTGAGTCTAGGGGGCCCTGAAGCGGCCGACTGGGGGCCCGGCTCTCGGCGGAACGAGGGCTGCGCGCCCCGAGCCTCGAGTCCGCGCTCCTACTCCAGCTGGGCTCGCACGGCTGCTGCACCTTCGCGCCTCCTCCCTGTGCCTGCAGCCGTCTGAAGGGGACCCGGACGGTTTTATTTTTGGAAACCTCCCCCGGCTTTTTCGTCTCTTTTATCCACACCAGGCCCCCTCCTCGGAGGGACAGCTCAGCCCCCTCATTACCGGAGAGGGAGCGAGGAATTCCAGCAACACCCACTTTGGCACCGGGAAGCCAGCGGGCGGCGAGCGGGCGGCGAGGGGGATTAACCCGTGCGGAGCAGGGGGCGGCGCGGGGCTGACCCAGGCGCTGGTCGGGCAGATGGCGCCTGCCACGACCGGGACACTGGGCCGCCTTTCTCCTGCTCTGGGCAAGTTCGAACTGCAGACCTGCCCCGAATCGTTCTCCCGCCCCTCGCCTCAGGGACCGTCTTTGGATCGGGGGACCCAGGCTGCAGCCTTGCAGGTCTGAAGGAAGCCGGGAGGGGCGCCGAGGCCCGCGTAGGGGAACAGGGCCGCCGCCCCCTCCGCTTGCGCCCTGGCCGCTGGGGGCGCCCTCCGCAGGGCCGGCCGGAGCGGGGGTGGCGCGGGGCGGGGCGCGGCGCGCGGAGCGCAGGGAGGTCCCGGGCGCGCCCCCTGGCGGAGCTGGCGGCCCTGGCGCTCCGTGGCTGCAATGCCCTGGCGCCGCCGCCTTCGCTCTGGATCTCAATCCCCTTCCACTGGCGTGAGGGTCACGCCTGAGCCTGGCGCGGTGATGGCTGCCGGTAGAAGAGGGGTCCTCTTTTTCTTTTTCTTTTTCTTTTCTTTCTTTCTTTCTTTCTTTTTTTTGAGACGGAGTTTCGCTCTTGTTGCCCAGGCTGGAGTGCAATGGTGCGATCTCAGCTCCCCGCAACCTCCGCCTCCCGGGTTCAAGCGATTCCCCTGCCTCAGCCTCCCTAGTAGCTGGGATTACAGGCATGCGCCACCAAGTCTGACTAATTTTGTATATTATTTTATTTTTTAGTACAGACGGGGTTTCTCCATGTTGGTCAGGCTGGTCTCGAACTCCCAACCTCAGGTGATCCGCCCGCCTCGGCCTCCCAAAGTGCTGGGATTAAAGGCGTGAGCCACCACGCCCGGCCAAGGGGTCCTCTTTTTCACCGAGGCAAAGACACGGAGCCTCTTGAGTAAGTCACTCAAGGAGATAGCGCATGTGAAAGAGGGGAGTGGAATCTAGGCCTCCCGCCTCTGGCTGAATCCATTCCCGGGATCCCACCCAGCCCTTCACTCTCTCGGGAATTTCCCAGAGGGGGATTCGGTGACCCCGATTGACCCAGTGTGTGCATTCACATCTTGTGTTAGCAGGGAGGCGGGCAGGGGTGTGGGAATGCTGACTGCCGCTGTCTGCGTGTCCCCAGTAATCAGCACACCATTCTCACCCATGCTCCCTCCCTACAGCCTAAAGGCTTGGATCAACAGGGCTGCCCCTGGCACATTTGTACAGCCTATTTCCCAGAGAGGCAGAGTGAAGGAGCTGGCATGTGGGCACCAGTTCACAACCTCCCACACCACACAAAAGACAAGCCCAGGTAATATCTACTGTTGAAATAAAGCCTCGACCCCTGGCCTTGGCCTACAAACCCTAGCTGGCTGCCCCCGCTCTGATTTCATCTGGCCTCTTGCTCTCCCTTACCCACCACACTGTGCTGCCTTGGCCCTCTCTCTGCTCCTTGAACAAGCCAAGTGAATGCCCCCTTCCCTCTACTGGAAGGTTCCTCTCCAGGATGTTAGAGGGTAGTTCCTCATCACTGCTCCTCTCAGATTAAATATCAGCTCCTGGAGTAGCCATCCCTGACCTCCAATCTAGAGCAGCCCTCCCTCACCCCAGTCATGACTCTAACACACCACCCTGTTTCATCTTCATAAAACAGTTGACATCATCTTGTTATTGATTTGTTTGCTCGTGTAACTGAATTTTTTAATGGGCTGAACCTAAAGAGGGACTATCCAGAAACTGCTCCACTACTACCTTCAACCATATTATGGTAAATTTCCCTTTCCCACCCTTAATGACATCTCAGGCAGAGTCCTTGGCTTGAGAGGTCATCCCTACCAGACACGAGAACTATTCTATTAATATAATTAAGACCCATTTTCAGACACAAAAAGTCTGCTCCTGTCCAGATCAAAATCTCATCCAAGTTAATCAATATCACATCCCATTTAATAGTCCTCCTCTCCCCTGTCCCTTTGCTAGAGATCCTGCAGTGGTGAGAGTGGGGTGTGGTCTGTTTTCCTGACCTCCCTTTTCTGCTGTGGCTCCTCTTTGTCAAGGCTGGGAGAGAGGTGTTAGAGGAAAAGTAGCAAAGTCTTATGTGACAGGTACCCTTGGTTGGCAGGTGCCAAGCGCTGGCTTTTTCATGGGCACATATGTGGGTTTTTGGGAGGTTCTCTACAGGACCTCCACCCTGAGTTGCCATAGCAAATTACTCTCTGGCCAACCTCTCGGAGACCCCTGCATCCTCTGTCTCTCATAGGACTGTCCCACCTATGCCAGGCAAAACAATGGTGGGTTGGCCGCTCCTCACCCTGCCCACTTCTCACCTTGCCACACAGGCCACTCCAGCGAGGCTCCACGATCAGAATTCTCCAGACAGGAAGTGCACACAAGTCTCTTCATTTATGTACGTCCTCAATTCCTAAAGACATATGTTGGGTTCTCCCATGAACTGTCTTGCTGTAGTTTAATGCACCGAGGTGCCTGTAACATCCAGCAACATAGTCAGCATCAGTGGGGGGACAGTTATAGGGACAGAGCCTCCTCTTCTTGCAGATGACTGGTTCTCTCTGGGAGCTCCCTTCATTTGGTTTGAGTTGGGGAGTTCCCTCAGGGGAAATCTCAGCCCTGCCCACAAATGCAGCAGTGTTATGCTTCAGTGACTTTCTTCAATCCCTTTCATTTGTAGACTGGAATTGAGGGATGTAGTTTGATTGCTGTTGAACCTGTTCTGCCTTTAGTAAGGTGTCTAGTACTTCTCTTCAGAATGCAAGAATATTTAGCCCTCATTGTTCTATCTTTGTGGCTTCAGCAGATATTCCAAGAGCAGAGGAAAAGTCCTATTCAACAACCTATAAAATCATTTCTTGTCTGACTTCCCAAACCACAATGACAGCTCTAAAGCAACAGATATCTTGTCTGCGTTGCTCACCACTGTTTCTGCAGAACCTAGAACAGCCAAGAAGTATGTGTGAAATGGATAGCTAACTGAATGAAGGACACAGTAATCCCATCAAGTGGGGAGGGCTGGTATCATTAGACCCATTTTAAGAGAGAGGAACTGAGTTCTGGGTGGCAGCTCCTGATCCAGGTTCATGTGCTTGCTGCCTTTGGGGCTGGCTCTAAAGATCTCCTTGAACCCTACCCCTTGCATTTGACCATGAATGCCCCTTAGTTCCCAGAATGCTGCGTTCTGTTCCTGGGATGCTGCTCCTTCACAGCTGTGGAAGCCCCAGGTCCACACTTACCTCTCCTTGCCCAGATATCCACCCACCTCTGTAGTTCTGGGCTCCCTTCCTCTCCCCGGAACCTACCCACTTCCTTCAGAAGCTCCCCTCTAGATCCCTCAAGACCCACCTCAGATCCCCGTGGGCCTCCAAAAGCCAGAAACCTTGGCATCATCTTCGTCCCTGAGCTATTTTTTCCTCCTGTGTGTCCAAGTCATTATTACTGCTCCGTCTCCTCCGTCTGCATTTCTGGAAGTCTGCCGCCCATTCATCCCTCACCCTTCGCCTCCGCCAAAACCCTCACGCAGACCAACTTTCCCTCACCATCGGGCGCCCCTTCCACTCCTCAGTGAGTACAAGTGGTCCTTGGACGTTCCCACCCTGTTCGCCTGGGGACCATAACCCAGTTCATCTACTCCAAAGACTGGCATCTTCTACCCCATCCCGGCGCCACACTCTGTCCTGCCACCTACTTACTGCCCATATCTCCCTTACCCTCTAACTGCTGGGACTGATTGCAGCTCTTCAGAATCTCCAATCCCACAAACACTTGAGTTTTGCTTTTTTTTTTTAACCTGCCAAAATCGATAGAGCCTACTTTAGTCCAAACGCCATACTAAGCATGTTACATCAATTGGCTGATTTAACCAACCAAAGGAGGCATTATGATTTCCACGCATACAAAGGAGGAAACTGAGGTTGGCAATGGCTACTGGCTTGCCCAAGATGGCACAGCTGATAAATAGCAGAGGCAGGATTCAAACCTGGATCATTTTCCACCTGAGCCCAAGCTTTTAAGGTTACACCGCCTTGCCTCCACCCCGGGCTTGTAAGCCTGGAGCCCTCTTCACAATTGAATCATGACCTTTCCAACCACCCCACCACTATCACCACCAAAGGAGCTCTAGGGCATATCCCCAAATGCCCTCTTCCCTGCCTGCCAGCCCACTGTTCATGTACCTGGAGCTCATGTACCTGGAGATGTGGAGTTATCAGAACTTTCTGCCACCCTTAATCCTCTTGGCCCAGTGAAAGAAGGGAAGCTGTTTCAGCATGGCCGCTGACTCACCGTGTGTCACTTCCCCACCCCCTGATTAAAGCCTTCTCCCTCATTAGATCGCTGCTAAGCCTACTCACCCATCTCTTGGGTCTGGAGAGGAAAATCATCTCTGGAAAACCCGGCAGAGAGAGTCTAAAGGGTTGATAAAGAGATTCCAGCAGGGAAAGGTTTGCCCAGACACATGCCCCATGCAAGGGACAGCAGTCTCCTGGACTCCCAGGGCAAACTCACTGCTTTTCCATGTCTCACTGGAATAATGTTGGCAGCCAGAGGTCTACCAGAACCTGAGCTAATTTGGTAAATAAGGACCAAAAACAAGGGCCACATTTCGGCCCCCTTTGCTGAGACCCAGACTCCTGAAAGAATTCCAGGGATTTTTCTTGCTTGGAAGTAACTGGACCTCCAGCCCTGAATTCCTCTCCCCAGGAGAGCTTGTTCCCCTGCTCAGAACAAATAACACATTTCCTGGTTAATCAGAGGGCAGAATCGCTGAAGGAAAGTTTGACTGGGCCCCCAGCCTTCCAGACGGGAGCCGCTCATGGGCTTGGATGTTCTGCTCCAGACACTGGGCAGCTGGGACCCCAGCACTGCGCAGCCTCAGCCTCCAGTTTGGAAGGTGCAGGCCGTACAGAGAGGTGCCGACTCCCTCCTGTGTGAGGTTGTTAAGGCCCGCAAAGGCTGCCAGAACCATTCCACCTTAGGTGCCATGACCTGGCGTCCCCTCAAGAATTCACAACCACCCTGCCCTGGTCTGCCGGTGCCTGTCTCCTCCAAGTGGGTATGACATGCTGGCTGGTGGTGATAGCCATGGTATGGATGTTCCTGCAAAGGTAAGGTGAGCTGGCCTGTATTTCAGAGTGTGCTGGAAAGGGCCCTCCCACAAACATGTGGTGAACATTTACGTCTTCTGTGAGCGGAGCACAGTTCTGAGCTCATTTCCGTCTTCTGTGAATGCAGCACAGTTCTGAGCTTCATTTGGCTTCTACTTTCTTATCTGAAAGTTGAGATAATGATGTTCTTTTTGCCATTTTTCTCTTCAGGACAAACTAGCTAGCCAGCCCTGTTTACCCTGTCATGGGGCTAGGGGCAGGTGTCAATTACTACTCCTCCATTTACCAACTGATATTTCATTTATTGTTTGTTTGTTTGTTTGAGACAGGGTCTCACTCTGTCACCCAGGCTGGAGTGCAGTGGCACAATCTCGGCTCACTGCAGCATCCACCTCCTGGGTTCAAGCAATCCTCCAGCTTCAGCCCCCCAAGTAGCTGGGACTGTAGGTGCACGCCACCAAGCCTGGCTAATTTGTATTTTTTGTAGAGACGGGGTTTTGCCATTTTGCCCAGGCTGGTCTTGAACCCCTGGACTCAAGTGATCCTCCCGTCTCGGCCTCCTAAAGTGTTGGGATTATAGGTGTGAGCCACCACATCCAGCCTTGGTATTTCTTGAGCACTCAGAAGGTACCAGGCACTGTGCCAAGTCATCTTATAGTCACTTCCTTGTTTAATGAGAAGCGCTATTGATGAAGGAAGTGCTATTATTTCCCCACATAGCAGATGAGGAAATGAAGGCTCGGGGAAGTAAATGACTCATCCACAGTCACAAGCCAGTAGGTGGCTGCGCTGGGATTCACTCCTGGTTTGTCTGGTCCCAGATGCTAAACCAATGCCAGCTTCCAGGGGAAGGGAGACCACCGACAGCTGCATTTTTCTCAGAGCTGGAAGCATGCACAGCTGTTTGTGGTGTGGTGGGGGTGCTAATGGCTGCATGGGACTGTGGTCACAGGTCAGCCCCCACCAAGCATCCCCCATTCTCCTCAGGCCTGTTTACCAGCTAGGGGTCCGCTCTGAGTCAGGGCGGTGAATCTGATTCGCACCCACAGAGAAGAAGGAAGGAAGTCACAGCCACACTCACCCCACCTCCATCAAGTAGTCTGCAGTTGCTGAATAGAGCTCATCTCAACTCGTAGCTTTTCTCTTTGGGAAAGAGAAATGACATACATACAATGTCTATTTAGCTCTGTGTGGTAGAGGTGTTGCCATTCCCATTTCACAAGCCCAGAGGGGTAGTCGCTTGCTCAAGGCCACACAGCTGGGAGTTGAGCCAGGATTCAACTAAAAAGTCTGAACAACTCCAAAGTCCATGCTGTTTTCCCTGCAGCACACTGCACTCACACCAGGGTGTCCTGCAATGATGGGAAATGGGCAGCTCTTTCAAATCACTTAGTTCACTTCGCTTCCCTTCATTTCCAGTCTCTGGTGCATGGGTGGGCTGATCTGAAAGCTCCGTGCCATTCACTATAAGCTGAGATGTCATTTCCTATTTACCTGCATAAATTCCTTCAGTCCCTGGCTGGGGGTGGAGGGGTGGAGGAATCTTCTAAACCCCCGGGGGAGCCTGAAGCATAACTTCTCCTCAAGCACAGTCTCTGAAGACCTGAGCAGGACAACAGTGTGAGCAGCTGGAAGACCTCCTCCCTGTAATTCCTCCCAGTGAGACCAAGGGGACTTCATATGCTCTGCTGGAGGTGGAGAGAGTTACCCAGATGGGGAGAGCTCATGTACCTGGATTATTCTTTCAAAATCCCCAGGAAGAAAACCCTGTGGGCTGGGGGATTGTGCAGGCCTATCTAGGCTTCTAGAATGGCTGTGCAGGAATTTGAGGACAAAAAAGGACAAGAAGCAGCTTCCCTTGGCTGTCGCTGGCATCTTCCAGCCTGTGCCCACCTTGGCTTTGAGCTGGGTCATAGTAACACTCCTCACACCCTGAGGGATGAGGGATGCAGGGGCAGAGAGGAAGGTCTACAGTAGGGTCTTTCCTAAAACAAGCTCTCCCCAGGGAGGCCTGCAAGCCAGCTCCCTCTCACTCTCCATTGTCAAGACAAAGAGAGGAAGAGGATGCCTTCTGCCATCATCCCCTGAGTCCATTTTCCCTGGATCATCCATGGAGAGTGGGGGCTCAATGATGTTTGCCCTGGTGCCCCCAATACCCTCTCTAGGGCCCCAGTCCCTCAGGAACAGACCCAGACCTGGCAAATCCCCAGGAAAGGGCACAGACACCAGGCTGAGGGGGCAGGCGAGGTGCAGCAGATCCCAGTGGGCCCCGGCTAGTCCTAGTCTGAATGACTCATTCCTTGTTTCCGTCCACTGTGGTCTGAGTGCCTTGGCCCAGGGGCCCCCAAGAGGTTGTAACACAGGCTGGCCTCTCGCCCATCAGGGCTCAGCAGACAAAAATTAAAGATCTCACTCCTCAGGAACTCACACAGACAGCACAGGCATGCTCTGTACTCTGCCTCACCAGACCAGACCTCAGGCCAGAGGAGGCTGATGGCCAAGAGAGGAAGGAAAGTCGTCTCCAGCTGCTCCTCCTCCTCTTCACCCCCCATGACCTGCCATGAAGGCCTGGCCCTGCCCACTGTCTTCTTACTCCCCCTCTGGTCCTCCGCCTAACAGTGGTGGTGCCAGCGGCATCTCCTCAGCTCTGTTCCGTTCCTCCCCATTTCTGACTGAAGACAACAGCAAAGGTGAAACAGCCTGTGCCTCCCAGGAGGAACAGACTTATAGGGAACTAACCATACATTTTCTGGCAGCCCATTTCTGATTAAGTCACTCACCTGCTCAACAACCTTCAATGGATCCCCACTACTTCACAAATCAATCCCAAACTTCTTACTGGGTTTGACACACAAGCTTGTTTCATAACCCTCCCAGCCATGTATGCTGACACTCCGCACAGTCTCACCCTCTCAGAATCCCACCCAGTTTCCTCTCCCCCATCCCCTCACCCAAACACCTTGGCTGACATTATTTCCTTGATCTGGAATGTTCTTCACCACCCCTGCCTGTTTGTTTAAACTCCCATTTTAAAGGCCGCCTCTTCCATGAAGACTTCCTGGGCACCTCCCTCCATCTGGAAAGTTTGCTGCTTCCACCAAATCCCTGTAGCCCTCAACGTACTGCACTCTGCTCTGCATGACTAGTCCACAGCTATGGGTCCTGGAGTAGTAGGAAGAACAAGGGGCTTTGTGGTTCTAACCTCAGCACCATCATTTACCAGTTATGTGCCCTGGGCTAAGTGACTCATTGAGCCAGTTTCCTCACCAAGACAATAGAGATCCAATAGATACCTTTCTAAACAATGCCTAGAAAAAGCAACTGTACTTATCAGTGACATAACACTCCAGGCCACAGTGGATTGAACCAAAGATAAGCACCTGAGCCACAGGCAGCCCTTTCACTGGCCAGTCAGTGACCTAAGATTTCTGTGGGCTGACTTAAATACAGACATCATTGGTTGCTGAACAAATGAGATTCTCTCTGAAATTTCAACTAAGAAACTTTACTTTGAAAGCCAACCCCCTGGGATTAAAACAGACAAGTCCATGTTCCCTAGAGCTTACAGCCCAATGGAGCTCGTATAACCACACCGCAATAAAGCCAGAGAGGTGGAGTGACTTGCCCAGGGTCACACAGCTAGTCAGTTACACAGAGAAGGCTAGAGCTCAGGTCTCCCCACCAGGGCTTGGTCTAGGTTGGTTGGCTTCTACTACAGGATCAAAAGGATGGACCCTGAACTGATTGCCTACAGAAGGCTGAAGAGGCACCAGCCATACCCTATGTGAACCTATGCTAGGCACATGGGCGGCTTTGGTGCAAAGAATTCTTCCATTCCAAGCAGTCATTAAAACCAAAGTCAGATCATGTCTGGGAGCAGACTCCAGTTGGAATTCTGTGTCTGCCCTTAGTACATCTTTCTGATCACACCCCTTCCCCTCCCTGGGCCTCAGATTCCTCATCTACAAAAAGAAGATTTTTACAAATTCCCTGTCAACACTAAGATTTTGATTTGAGCAGCAGACAGATAAGGAGAGCATGTGGATCCAAGGAACTGCAGGGTCCACAGAATGTGCATGTGGAGGGGACTCCCCGAGATAGGCCATCCCATTTCTTCAATTTATGGCAGGGCAAACTGAGGCCCAAAGAGGGAGAGATGCTGGCCCAAGGTCATGTGACTGGTTATTGGCCAGCACTTGAACCAGGGCCTCCTGACTCCCAGGCCTTTCAACTCTTTCAGCTGCTGCAAGAAGCTGGGAGCTATCTGGCCGTCTGGGCCAGGGAAGCCAAGAGTCACTATGCATGTCAGGGCAGGGCCTCGGGGCTTGGGAACATCTCTGATGGTGAGTGTAAGTGGCAAAGCTGCTGGTGGAGAGGGGTGGCTCGAGGGTCCCGGAGGGCGTATTGGAGATGAGCTGTCAGCAGCTTCCCTCCTCTGGCTGACAAGAAGAAACAGGGAAGGGTCCATGATGGTTGAAGGGAAACAGTCCCCATTTCTGATAAAGCCACTGCTCCATGGAGTGCCCCCCGCAACTCACACACACACTATCCACCCCTGCCTGGCTGCTGAGACCTCCCACCCGCAATCTCCGTCTCAGGTTGTGTATTGGTATCCTCAGGCACACTATTTTGTGAAGCCTGGAATTCCTTTCACTGCCTGAGATGCTTCCAAGCACCCATTTCTAAAATTCAGCCTGTTTGGCTGGGATCATGATGCCCTCCCATTCCACAGACATTTTTTGAGCACCTAATATGTGTCAGGCACTGTGCTAGGCACGGGGACAACTTCACTCCCTTTGTGATGTTAAGTGCTTCCATAGGGGAATTGACACAGCCTTTTGGACTTACTGAAAAACTGCTAATTGTGCGAGGAGGGGCTTGGTTGGAGAACATTTCTCAGAAAGTCATGACTCTGACTTAAATCTTTTTTGAGACAGGGTTTTGCTGTGTCATCCAGGCTGGAGTGCAGTGGCACAATCACAGTTCACTGCAGCCTCAAACCAAGGCTCAAGAGATCCTCCCACCTCAGCCTCCCAAGCAGCTGGGACTACTGGCATGCACCAGCACACTCGGCTAATTTTTGTATTTTTCGTAGAGACAGGGTTTCACCATGTTCCCTGGGCTGGTTCCAAACTCCCGAGCTCAAGTAATCCATCCTCCTCGGCCTCCCAAAATGCTAGGATTACAGGTGTGAGCCACCACGCCTGGTTTCTGACTTAAATGTTTTTTGTTTTTTTTTTTTACTGGAGACAGGGTCTTACTTTCACCCAGGCTGGAGTGCAGTGGTGCAATCTCAGCTCACTGCAACCTCTGCCTCCTGGGCTCAAGTGATCCTCCCACCTCAACCTCCCAAGTAGCTGGAACCACAGGCACACACCACCATGCCTGGCTACTTTTTGTCTTTTTTATAGAGACGGGGTTTCACCATGTTACCCAGGCTTGTCTCGAACTCCTGAGCTCAAGTGATCCACCCGCCTCGGCCTCCCAAAGTGCTGGGAATATAAATGTGAGTCACTGTGCCCAGCCTCTGACTTAAATCTTAAAGTCTAAGAAGCAGTTTAGCATATGGGGAAGGGTGGGGCATGCCAAGGCAAAGGCAGTGAACGTGCAAATCCTGAGTGACTGGAAGGATTGCAAGAAGCTTGTATGGCTGAAGTTTCCATAGAAAGAAGGTTATGGAAAGGGAGGAGGCTGGAGGGGAAGGCTGGGGCTAATGCATGTGGAGCTTAGCTCTAACGAGCTCCTTCGCTCAGAAAAAGGAATCTGGCCAGGCACGGTGGCTCACGCCTGTAATCCCAGGACTTTGGGAGGCCAAGGCGGGTGGATCACCTGAGGTCAGAAGTTTAAGACCAGCCTGGCCAACATGGCAAAACCCCGTCTCTACTAAAAATACAAAAAAATTAGCTGGGCATGGTGGCACGCACCTGTAATCCCAGCTACTCAGGAGGCTGAGGCAGGAGAATCACTAGAATCCGGGAGGCGGAGGTTGCAGTGAGCTGAGATCACACCATTGCACTCCAGCCTGGTAAAAACAAGAGCAAAACTCAGTCTCAAAAAAAAAAAAAAAAAAGAAAAGAAAAGGAAAAAAGAATCTTTTTCCCACATCCAAGCCACCAGCTGGCCCCAGAGTGGGCAGACAACTACCTGGAATTCTGAAACTGATGTCTTCTGGTTAACAGGGAGGTCACTTGGGTGAGGAGGAAGCAGCATGATCTTATTCTCATCAACCCTCACTAAAGCCACCCCAAAATAAACATCTAAACATAAAGTCGTACAGATGCCAGACAGGTATTTGCCATGCTTAAAACAATGCCCAGTCCTGCTTCCCAGCACTGCATCCCCCCATGGCTTCTCTTTTCTAGAAAGTGAGGAGCTGCCAGTGCAACAGCTCTGGCCTGGCCCCTGGGCTCCTGCCGCCATGACCCACTAGCCAGACTGTGTCTCTTCCTTGCCCCAGCTACCTCCACTTTTCTAAACCCTCTCTGAATTTCCTACTCCCTTTGGACCCCCCGGGTTCCTCTGGGGACTCAGCCTCAGTCAGGCTCTTGTCCCCAGTCACTCATTCTTGCTGGGCCTCAGGTTCTTCTCTGATCCCATAAGCTCAAGTTGAAGTTATATCATGCCGGGTGTCACAATATACATCTCCAAGCCCACCTGCTCTTCGGCCTCCCTCATAGCTTTGCTTCATAGATAGAGAAGCCTTATGTGCTTGACATCAAACAGATACCTGAGGAGTGCCTGGTGCATTTCAGCCATTATTTCTTGAGTATCCCTTTGTCAGGCATCAGAGTTGCCAAGAAGAATAAGGCTAAGGACGGTCCCTACCCTCAAGCAGCTGCCAGTATAGTAGGAAAGGCAGACAGTACATATCATGGTAAGTGCTGTGAGTGAGATAAGATCAGGGTACAATGTGAATACAAGGACAGGGTACCTAATCCAGCCTGGGAGCATAGGATGGTCAGGGAAGGTCCTAGAGAAGATGCTGTCTGAGCTGGGGCTGGAAGGCTGGGCATGTCTCAGCCAGGAGAAGGTGAAAAGGCTGAGGAAGAGAAGGCAAAGCTGTGATTACCAGAGCCAGGTTCACACAAACTAAACCACACCCCATTCAACCCCGTTTCTTTTTTTTTTTTTAAGACAGAGTCTCACTCTACTAGAGTGATGTGGCCCAATCTTGGTTCATTGCAACCTCTGCCTCCCAGGCTCAAGCGATCCTCCCACCTCAGCCTCCCAAGCAGCTGGGACTACAGGTGCGCGCCAGCACGCTCGGCTAATTTTTGTATTTTTTGTAGAGACAGGGTCTTGCCATGTTACCCAGGGCTGGTCTCAAACTCCAGGTCTCAAGCAGTCCTCCCGCCTTGGCCTCCCAAAGTGCTAGGATTACAAATGTGAGCCACAGAACCCAGCCCCAGTTCCTTTTTCAATAGGGTTCCTGACCAGAGAAATGTTGTCCTATTTTTAATGATATTCAAATGAAATGGAAATGATATTCAATGTGGATAGGCTGAGAAAATGTGGAGCTCATGGTAATGCAATTAGGCATATGTGTAGATGTTTAAACAACCATTCCCCACATTGATGAATGAATGGAGGTCATTGAGACCTATAAACATGCATGAGACAGGGATGTAACCTACACAAAACTTCTCACAATTTTGAGATCAGAAAAATAATTTTTAGGCCGGGCGCAGTGGCCCACGCCTGTAATCCCAGCACTTTGGGAGGCTGAGGCAGGTGGATCACCTGAGGTTGGGAGTTCCAGACCAGCCTGACCAGCATGGAGAAACCCTGTCTCTACTAAAAATACAAAAAAATTAGCCAGGTGTGGTAATGCTTGCCTGTAATCCCGGCTACTCGGGAGGCTGAGTCAGGAGAATTGCTTGAACCCGGGAGGTGGAGGTTGCGGTGAGCCGAGATCACACCATTGCACTCCAGCCTGGGCAAGAAGAGCAAAACTCCATCTCAAAAAAAAAAAGAAAAAGAAAAGAAAAATAATTTTTATCAAATTTTCACATGACATAGAACTAGAAGAATAAATGATAAAACTGGATGATAGAAGCAAAATATAAACTGATCTTATCTAGAAATTTAATAGAGATAAGTAAAAAAGTCTTACATCTTGGTCCAGATAAATTAATAATTAACTTAAGGATAAGAGATACTTGCTTTGGGCCGGGCGTGGTGGCTCAAGCCTGTAATCCCAGCACTTTGGGAGGCCGAGGTGGGTGGATCACATGAGGTCAGGAGTTCAGGACTCCCAGCTACTTGGGAGGCTGAGGCGGGAGAAATGCTTGAACCCGGGAGGCGGAGGTTGCAGTGAGCCAGGATCACGCCATTGTACTCCAGCCTGGGTGACAGAGAGAGACTCCATCTCAAAAAAGAGAAAAAAAAAGAGATACTTGTTTTGATACCAGCTCATGTGAAATGACCCAAATTTGGGGAGACAGTGGTGCAAACTATTCAGCAGTGAATAGGGAGAGCCTAGGTAGCTACTGGTTCAAAATAAACTAACAATACAACTTCCTTAAAGGTCTAGTGCCATCTTGGATAGAATCCAGGGCTCAGAAGCCAGGTGCGGTGGCTCATGTCTGTAATACCAGCACTTTGGGAGGCCGAGCGGGGAGGATCACTTGAGGCCCGGAGTTCAAGACCAGCCTGGGCAACATAGCAAGACTCTGTCTCTACAAAATGGTCTGGTAAGAACCTATCTCTACAAAAAAAATTAAAAATTAGCTGGGTGTGGTGCACACCTGTAGTCTCAGCTATTCAGGAGGCTGAGGCAAGAGTATCATTTGAGCCCAGGAGTTCAAATCCAGCCTAAGTAACACAGAGAGACTCTGTCACAGAGAGAGACAAAAAGTATATTTAAGGGCGAGGGTTAACAGTAAATGGGCATCACATCTTATTGGGATGATAAAATGTTCCAATATTGATTTACAGTGATGGTTGTAAAACTTGGTAAGTTTACTAAAAATTGAATTATGCACTTGAAAATGGTAGATTATATGATATACAATATATGCCTCTATAATTTTTTTTATAAGAGTTAAGAGTTTCAGGCCAGGCGTGGTGGCTCACGCCTGTAATCCCAGCGCTTTGGGAGGCCAAGGCAGGCGGATCACCTGAGGTCAGGAGAACAGCCTGACCAACATGGAGAAACCCCATCTCTACTAAAAATACAAAATTAGCTGGGCGTGGTGGTACATGCCTGTAATCCCAGCTACTTGGGAGGCTGAGGCAGGAAAATTGCTTGGACCTGGGAGGTGGAGGTTGCGGTGAGCCAAGATAGAGCTATTGCACTCCAGCCTGGGCAACAAAAGCAAAACTCTGTCTCAAAAAAAAAAAAAAAAGAATTTCGGGCAGGCGAGGAGGTGGCTTACGCCTGTAATCTCAGCACTTTGGGAGGCCAAGGCAGGCGGATCACCTGAAGTCAGGAGTTCCAGACCAGCCTGGCCACCATGGCACAACCCTGTCTCTACTAAAAAAAAAAAAAAAAATACAAAAATTAGCAGGGTGTGGTGGTGCATGCCTGTAATCCCAGCTACCTGGGAGGCTGAGGCAGGAGAATGGCTTGAACTTGGGAGGCAGAGGTTGCAGTGAGCTGAGATCGTGTCATTGCACTCCAGCCCGAGTGACAAGAGTGAAACTATGTCTCAAAAAAAAAAAAAAGAGAGAGGAGTTTCGTACTTCAAGGTTGGGGAAAGGAGAATATCCTGCAAAGGAGATAATGAAGAAAAGTCCGAAGTGGAAAGGGGAAGTGCCATAGAACCCGATGAAAGAGACATTTTAAAGAAGGAAACTGTGGCCAACTCTAGGCAAAGCCACCGAGGTGTCACATAAAATGGAAACTTAATAGTTTCCATTAACCAGGCACGATGGCTCACCCCTACAATCCCAGCACTTTGGGAGGTGGAGGCAGGCTGATGCTTGACCCCAGGAGTTCGAGACCAGCCTGGGCAACATGGCAAAACCCTGTCTCTTCTAAAAATACAAAAATTAGCCAGGCATGGTGGTGTACACCTGTAATCCCAGCTACTTGGAAGGCTGAGGCACAAGAATCAGTTGAACCTGGGAAGCGGAGGTTGCAGTGAACTGAGATCGCGCCACTGTACTCCAGCCTGGGCAACAGAGCAAGAATCTATCTCAAAAAAAAAAAAAAATAGTACTTTATTTATCACAGTGGAGTTCACAATAGAGTTTCAGATTCAGGACTAGGAACAGCAAAAACATGGAAATACAGATTTCCGCTCTAGTAAATGCAGCACGTGGAGCTCTCCAACGGCAGGACAGATCCCACTGCTGAGTAATGAATGAGCTCTCTGACACCGGTAGTATTCAAAGAGAGCCTGGATGAGGCATTGTAGAAGGGATTTCTACATGGAAGGAAGATCTTTAAGGAGTACGAGTCTGTGAAAGGCCCAGGGTTTTCCTAAGATTTCATGACTTCTCTTTGCTGAAGACCTCTTCTCCACCCCTGGCCTTGGGCTCCTCATCTCAAGCATTGAGAGCTTGACCTGTGGGAAGGCAGAATGGCCCAGCCTCCTGAAGCCCCAGGGACCTCACTGCTGTTGGGTAGGGGTCCTTCAACCTCTGATGGCTCCCTTGAGTAATGAGCTAGCCCAGGGGTGGGTGATCACACAACAGCAGGTTTTCCCAAAGTCAGTGGAGAGAACTGAGTAATCCTGGGAGACCAGGAGAAAGAGACTGAAGGGCAAGGGAGATGGCATGGGAGGACTGGTCCTCCTTTTTAAATATGTGGGGCCAGCTGTCTTTGTGTCTCTGCCTCACCCTCACACAACATTTCCCCAGGGATAAGATGTGGGAAGGAGAGGCTACAAGATGAAGTTCATGGTAACTGTGTGGAGGGTTCCTGAGATAGGAAGAGGAGGAGGATATAAAGCACCTAGCCAGGCATGGTGGTGCGCACCCGTAGTCCCAGCTACTTGGGAGGCTGAGGTGAAAGGACTGCTTGAGCCCAGGAGTTTCAGAACTGGTCAACATAGCAAGACCCTGTTTTTAAAAAATAAAAAACTTGGAAAGCTGTGTGGAGCTTCTGCACTGCTTGAGCTGCTGATGGTCAGGTCTGTGTCAGCTGGCATTGTTCCAACATGAACTTTGAACCCATAGCAAAGGGGAAGGAATCCTTGACAACTCCCAGAGTGGGCCTGACAAGCTACGGTGCTGCCTGGTCACCAAAAAGGACACACAAGAGGCAATCCATTCTCCCAGCCAACATTTCCTGGGCATCTTCTATGTGCCAGGCCCCCTCACAGAGCTTGCAGTCGTTCATTCTGCTCATTCATTAATACGAGGAAACTGCCCCAAAACTGCAAGGAAAATGCCAACCAGGCTAGGTAACAGAGCTGAAGGAAAAAGAGCCAAGTGCATGCTTTGAGCCTGCCTCATGAAGTCAAGTCAAACATCTTTCTTTCTTGTCTCTGTACAAGAACTCCAGCTGGGGAGGAAGGAGGAGGTGACAGCAACAGTACATGCTTCCCATTGTACAGATGGCAATCTTGATCTCCGAACTGCTGCATGCCCAGCCACAGGGGGCATCCCATGTGACAAGGAATTAGAACTACACTGCTTCCTAATACTATATTTCGTGGCAGGAGGAGTTGGAACCAAGGGACCTCAGGTTACTCTCCCAGGATGTGGGAGGGGAAAGGTAAAGGTAGTGTGAAGTGGGCCTCAGCAGAACCTCAGAGCCAAAAGGAACTCCGGGGACCATCTGACCTGCAGCCCCTCCACCCCCAGCCCCCATTCCACAAACAACCATCCCATAGCCCATATTGCTCCCCTGGGTTCCAGGAGACAGTGTCCCAGGTTTTGCCTTCTCTGGTCTTTTCTTCCACATGCCCTGAATCTAAGGAAACACTGGGGCCCATCAGGCTCACAGATGACTGTGTTCCCACTTCCACACCAAATGGTACCAGCAGCACATGTCAGCTGGGAGCAGTGGCTTTCAAACCTTTTAACCACAACTCATACTAATTACTTTTTTTTTTGAGATGGAGTTTCGCTCTTGTTGCCCAGGCTAGAGTGCAATGGCACCATCTCGGCTCACTGCAACTTCTGCCTCCCAGGTTCAAGCAATTCTCCTGCCTCAGCCTCCCTAGTAGCTGGGATTACAGGCACCCATGACCATGCCCAGCTAATTTTTGTATTTTTAGTAGAGACGGGTTTTCACCATGTTGGCCAGGCTGGTCTTGAACTTCTGACCTCAGGTGATCCACCTGCCTCGGCCTCCCAAAGTGCTGGGATTACAGACGTGAGCCACCACGCCTGGCCCTGTTTTGTTTTTAATGCTGGTTGTGACTCACTATGGTGATTTCACAACCCACATGTGCATTTCAATGCCCACCTGGGCTAGAGGTACAGGCTCAGCTGCCGGAGTCCTTAACAGAGGTGGGGATAACTAAGGGCAAACCAAGAGGGTAAGGCATGAAGGAGCAGCAGGATGGGCAGTTTATATGTCCCCAGAAGAAAGGCCTTGGAACCCCTCAGCCTGAAGAAAAAGGAGGCCAAGGGCAGGCTCTGTCAGATCTTCACCTATACCAAGGCGTTTTCTTCATTTGCTTGTTTGTCCCATATAGAAGACAGTGAGCGGTATTCTTCACACTGAGCACAAGAAAAGGGGAGTTGACAAAAACTGCAGTGGAAAATAAGTCAGTGCAACACAGGCTGGGTGGGTGAGTATGTGCAGGGAGTGAGGGCAGCAAGAGATTCTACGCATTAAAAAAGGATCGTGGCCAAGTGCAGTGGCTCACACCTACAATCCCAGCACTTTGGAAGGCTGAGGCAGGTGGATCACTTGAGCTCAGGAGTTTGAGACCAGCCTTTACAACACAGCAAGACCCTGTCTCCACCAAAAATACAAAAAATTAGCCGAGCGTGGTGGTGCATGCCCTGTAGTCCCAGCTATTCGGGAGGCTGAGGTGGTAGGGATCACTTGAGCAGGGGAGGCAGAGGTTGCAGTGAGCTGAGATCGCACTACTGCACCCCAGCCTGGGCAACAGAGTGAGACCCTGTCTCAAAACAAAACAAAACAAAACAAAAAACGGTTCATGTGACGTTTCTTCTTATTAAAGGTAAGGGGAAGTGGGGAAGTCAGTTGTCCAAGAAAACTGGTAAATGCTCAGCAATCCGGGATGGTTGTGATGTTTCCCAGAAGACACTGGAAGGGCTAAGATGATTTGAGGGGGTCCTGTCCAGCCCTGGGAGTTCACTACCTCCTTAGCTCGCCCCAACAAAACCTGCCAGTGGACTTTCACCCTGGCTTGGGGTTGGCTGAGGAAGGTTTGGCTAGATCCACAGGCTGCCCAGGCAGAAAGGCCTCCCCATTTCCAGACCCTGAAAGAGAACCAGGCCAGGGAAAATCTGAGAGAGAGAGTGAGAACCTGTGGAGGGGCCAGGTGTAGGGAGGAGGCCGCACACTGTGTGCTGTATCCAAGTGTTCCAGACTGGGTGGGAAGCACTGGGAGCTGGGGCAGGGGACGGGAAGGGGTCGCTGAGCAGGAGCCGTGAGGTCAGTGTTGGGCAAGAGGCAAGTCTGGCTCCCATCATACCTGCACTAATGAGCTGGAAGCAGACGGAAACGGCACAGCGTGTGAAGGCCAGCAAGGGAAGATCCTCCCCATGCCAGCTGGACGGGAAAAGACCGAGCGTGGTGGAAACAGGGCCTGTCCCCTCCCCATCCCCTGGAATCTCAAGCTAGAGGCTGGAACAGCCAGGAGAAGGGGTTGGGAGGTGAGGGCTGATCAGATGAGGCTGAAACAAGACCTCCTGGGGGAAAGGGGATTAGAAAGATGCCAAGGGACTGCGGCATGGAGGAGAGAAAGCCAAGGGGCTACAGAGGCACCCTGCCAACCCTGGGGAGGGAGGAGGCCCCAGGGGGGTTGTCAGCTGCAGGCACCGGCCCTGAGGAGAACAGCTGGACTGAGCCAAAGGCTGGACAGTTGACTGACTTAAAAGGGCAGACGGAATGGGCAAGTCCATCCTGCCCCGTCAGGGCAGCAGAAATGGCCACAAGTATTCACAGACTGTAAACACTAAGGCAGGGCTTGTCTGGGACTGGGAAGATCTGGCTAGGCCTGGCAGGGGAGAGCCGAGGGCTGGAAGGAGGCCTGAGCCTGGTGACTTCTGCAGTGGACTGTCCTGAGACCCAGGAGGAGGGTCACTTTGGGAGCCCCAAGGATCACTCACAAAGCCTCACTGGAGCCAGGAGCTAGACACAGCTCTAGACAGACAGCAGGGGCTGTCTTTTGTGTGCGTGCAGGGGGCAGATCACCCCAGCAGGTAGTTTTTCCTCTCCGACGTCCAGGATCCAGGGACTCGAGAGTGGCCTTTCTGCCTGCATCCTGGGCATGGTGTTAGAAGTGGAGGGGTGCTGACTCTACCTCCCAGCTCCAGTGGGCCCAACGCAGGTGGATAAATATTTACAGAACATCTGCATTAACCTTTCACAGGCAGGGTGGCCCCTCCCAGTGGCTTTCATATGGACCCTCACCCCCACCCCACCTCTGGTACAGAAAATTCCTACCAGAAGCAGAGCCTGTGGATCCAGTTTGACCCTGTGCACTCCTGGTTCAGCATCAACATTGGCTGCAGGTGAAAACCTAAGGCTGTGACCACAGACAAGTGGCCTCTCCCCTTGGGGCCTCAGTTTATCCACCTATAACACAAGAGGACTGAACCCTCTCTGCACCCAGTGATTTTCATTGATTCCAGCCTTTTGCTCGGCCTATGGTTGCTATGGAAACAGCACAAGGGAATAGTGCACCCCGCAGACAGGGTGGCACCCTCCAGCCTGTGACTATCACGGGCTCTGTCTGCCCAGCATCCTTCCTCTCTTATTCTCCTACCAGCATCCATTTTCCTTTAGGGAACTGCTCTTCCCTTTTCTAGGCTGTCTGATGGAACAGCCAGTTGCAATATTTGCAATGGGGCAAACAACCCAAACTGGCCCAATCAGATTCTCTCCCATGATTTGGCCCTGAAGCAGAGACACACAGTTATAACTAAACCATCCAATCGCAGCTCCCCAAAAAGTTCCCGGGGCTGGGAGCCTCATTACTGCCTACATTCCTGGCATTCTTCCTATCTACTTGTTCAGTTCTTATTTCTATTATGTTTGCTCCTAAAATCTTTGTGGTAACCTTACTCTTTTTTAATGTACAAATGAGAGTCCTGGCCAGGTGCAGTGGCTCACACCTGTAATCCCAGCACTTTGGGAGGCCAAGGTTGGAGGATCACTGGGCCCAGGAGTTTGAGATCAGCCTTGGCAAGATGGTGAGATTCCATCTCTACAAAAAATCAAAATATTATTCAGGCGTCGTAGCACACACCTGTGGTCTCAGCTACTTGGGAAGCTGAGGCTGGAGAACTGCTCGAGCGCGGGAGTTGAAGTCTGCCATGAGCCATGATCTCGGCACACACTCCAGCCTGGGTGACGGAGCGAGACCCTGTCTCAAAAAATAAATTAATAAATAACAAAAAATAAAAATTAGAATCCTTATTGCTCATAAGAAAAGAACTCTAGCTGGGCACAGTGGCTCCCACCTGTAATCCCAGCACTTCGGGAGGCCAAGAGGGGTAGATCACCTGAGATCAGGAATTTGAGACCAGCTTGGCCAACATGGTGAAACACCATCTCTATTAAAAATACAAAAGAAATTAGCTGGGCATTGTGGCGGGCACCTGTAGTCCCAGCTACTCAGGAGGCTGAGGCAGGAGAATCACTTGAACCCAGGCGGCAGAGGTTGCAGTGAGCTAAGATTGTGCCACTGCACTCCAGCCTGGGTGACAGAGTGAGACTCTCAAAAAAAAAAAAAAAAAAAAAAAAAAGAACTCCAATTTATATACCAGCTGAGAGAGACAGGCTAGGTGGACTCCAGCCCTCCCTGCTTTGCAATCCTAGGGCCATGGGCTCAGCTCTCCCACAGCATTCAGTTCATGTAGTCAGCATGGTGGGTTTGGCTCTGTTTGCTCAACAAGACTGCAAACATGAACAGCTGTATCTCAGACACCTGACTCAGAACCTTACACACACTGGAGGTGCTTAGTTGCATGGAATTGTGATCTTACAGCTTGAGGCAGGTAACTCCAGTGGGAACAAAACTTAATGAGTATCAGGGGATAATTCCCAGAGAACCGATATAAACAGCTGCCCAACAGACCAGGTCTGGGACAAGGCAATTCCCACTGCATCCAAGTGACGGATAAGTGCAGGGGAGAAGGGGTCAGGGTTCATGGCAGGGCGTTTTAGGGAAAGTCTACTCTGCCCCCTGAAATCTCTCTCCCACCTCTTCACGAATACTTCTGATTTCTGAAACAAGATGCTAAGGCACTCGGTCAGCACTTAGAAATGCATCTGCCCAAGAGGAGATCAAAGAGAATGTTTTCATTTACTCTGAAGTATAAAGATTGGGTAAAGACCCAGCACGGTGGCTCACACCTGTAATCCCAGCACTTTGGGAGGCCAAGGCAGGTGGATCATGAAGTCAGGAGATCAAGACCATCCTGGCCAACATGGTGAAACCCATCTCTACTAAAAATACAAAAATCAGCTGGGCGTGGTGGCAGGCACCTGTAATCCCAGCTACTCGGGAGGCTGAGACAGGAGAATTGCCTGAACGCAGGAGTCAGAGGTTGCAGTGAGCTGAGATCGTGGCACTGCACTCCAGCCTGGCGACAGAGTGAGACTCCCTCCCGCCGCCCCCCCTCCCAAAAAAAAGATTGGGGATAGACTCTTTCCTAAGCGTTCTTGACAGGGGAAAAAGGTTAGGGGGCATAAAGGTTTTCAGGGTGTGGAAAGTAAAAATGGATTTTCAGGTAGAACATGAGAAAGAGAAAGGGCTGGAAAAGAAGGCTGGGATACAAGCGTATGGGATACACATCAGCTTTGGCTGCAAGTTACAGAAGCTGGCTCTGGCAAACATAAGTGGCGAAAGAGAATTTGTTGGAAAGATACATGGTACTGAAGGAGGCCTTCAACACTCAGGCCTGAGAAGGGACCAGGGCAGCTTTGGGGGTCTGGGTAGCGGGAACTCATGAGCTGTCTGGCTTTGGATGATTCTAAAGCAACTGCCTTCCATTATGGGTAATGACTCCAACTCAGATTCAAATTCCCCAGGAAAAAGTCTGACAGATCTTGGGTCTATGCTCACCCTTTGAGAATGGAGGGTTGGGAGAGTCCTGTGGCTGGCAGCCCCACCAGGAATGCATGGAATTGGGGAGTTTGAGTTTCCCAAAGGAAAGCTGAGTTTCTGTTACTCAAGGAAGGGAAGAAGTGCTGGGCATATGTGCACAGCAGATGTTCTCTACACATGGGATGTCAATTGAGAGAGGTGGGGGATGGATGGGGTGGGGGATGGGAATTTCCAGGACGCTGCAGAACCTGCCATAGGGGCCAAGGCTCCTGCCACAGCCCTGGATTGCATCTCCCTCTCCTCCTATAAAAGCAAGCTCAGGAAAAGAACATTGTTTCTGTTCTTGACAGCTCCATAGAATTGTCTCCTTAGCTTCCAGTCACGCTCAGCTCCTGCTAGAATAATTACCACCCACCTGTTCTCCATACAAGAATTCACAGCCAGTGGACACACATCTGGCCTGTAAAAGACATGCTTGGAAGTCTCCCAGGCTGCTTGGAACAGGCAGGAGACAACACAGGGTCAGCCACTAATTCAAAGGCAAGGAAACAGCTGGCCTGAGAGCTATGGTCACTGGAGCCTAAGTGGCAGCGAACTCCTCCCCTGCCAGGCAGCTCAATGGATGTGGGACAGGTGTGTCCTGAGACAAACAAACCCCCTGAGACTCAGAGGAGGTTTGAGTGCTGGGCCCTGTCCTCTTCTTCCAGCACATGGCTGTCTTCCCCACCCCCATCTGCTTCTCTAGTGGGTGGAGGGGGCTAATACCCTGCCTTTCTTGGAGTTCCTTTATTTTTCTTCCCATTACTGTTTACATCACTCCCTTCTAAACACCATGGAAATTAAGAAAAGGCCAGGTAAAGTTTTAATGGGGAGGGCCAGAAATATTTTGGTGGTGAAGGTAATTGCATCCAAGTTTTAAGGATGTGGATGCAGAATTGGAAGGGAGCAGGGCGCGGTGGCTCACGCCTGTAATCCCAACAATTTGGGAGGTCAAGGCAAGTGGATGTCTTGAGACCAGAAGTTCGAGACCAGCCTGGCCAACATGGTGAAACCCCATCTCTACTAAAAACAAAAATTAACCAGGCATGGTGGCACACACCCGTAATCCCAGCTACTCAGGAGGCTGAGGCAGGAGAATAGCATGAACCCATGAGGCAGAGGTTGCAGTGAGCCAAGATCGCACCACTGCACTCCAGCCTGGGCAACTGAGCGAGACTGTCTCAAAGAAAAAAAAAATGGAATTGGAAGGGGACTGACTGAGAGAGCCTCTAGGCCAGCGGTTTTCAACTTTTTTTTTTTTTTTTTTTTGAGCAAAACCTTTGTGCAGTGTTTCAGCATTCAACAAATATTTACTGAATGCCAACTCTGTCCCAGGTGCTGTGCTAGGGGATACAGCAGCATGCAATCCAGACCTGATTCCAGCCCTTGTGAGCATACAGTGTAGTGGAGGAGACAGACACTGGGAAAATAATTAGATAAGTAGATCAACAGTGAGCTGCAATTGAAGTAGAGCTAAGAAAGAGACGTATGCAGCTAGATGACCTAATACAGACTTGGGAGGGGATTTGGGGAAGGTATCCCCAAAGGAATGACATTGGAGCTGAGATCTGAAGGGTGCACAGAACTCAGAAAGGAGGTATGGAGGAGGACGGTCAGGAGGAGATGTCATAAGATCCTGGAGGTAGGAAGGCTCTTGTGCTGGAGGAACTCACAGGCAAGGCAAGCAGAGTAGTGTGGGATGCAGGGGCTAGGGATTCAGGGACCAGACTGCCAGGGGTTCAGGAGTCAGATCCAAGATGTGAACAGGAAACTGGGGAGCTCCTGTGGCTGGAAAGGGGCCCGCCCTTGATCTCTCCCCAAACACCCCAACACACATACTTCCCTTTGCCTTATAGCCTCTGAGGCATCTTGGAGGAACGTTGGGGCTTGTCCGAATACCGCTTGAAAACCACAAATCCAGCCCTATTGCCATTTTCAGATGTGAAGACTGAGAATCAACAATTGCCCCCTCCCAGTGCCCTCTCTGTTAACTCTGGGCAGCTAATCCAGCCTCCCTGGAGAGAGTGTGATGCGGTGACAGACTCTGAGGACACTGCAGACAGCTCAGTGTTTCAGGAATGATGGGGACAGCCTTGAGAGCCAGCCCAGGGCTCTGGCATGGGGAATGGACCCCAAAGATGAGAGGTTGGCCCAGTCTGGGGCACTCAGTCTTTTCTGCCTGTGCTGGGAGAGTCTCTGACCCTCTTAGCCCATCCCCATCATTCATCCAGAGGCGCAGGCAGGCCGCCTGCCAGGATAGCAGATCCCACTCAGCTCTGGCCTCAACATTCCTCTCCCCGCCGGGGGGAAAGGTCAAGTGTAGGATATTTTCCCAAGCCCTGGAGAACAGCAGCACCTCCTGATATCTACAGCTACTACCCAGCTTGAAGGGCAACTACCAGGGCAGACAGGCAGGACGGGAGAGCAGTCAGCTGGCCCTCTAAGCAGGGCTGCAGGGGGAAGGGACTGGGGAGGCAGGGCCTGAAATATATCAACAACTTCAGCCCCAAGAAGTAGAGTAGAGAGTGGGTGATGGGAAAAGGGCTTGCATGGCAGGGGTCTGAGGCTGAGGCTCCGTCTGCCTCAGGAAGGCTAAAACGTTCCTGCTTCAACCCAGCTGGTCCTCATTTAACTAACTCCAGGGTCTGGCCTCTCTGGAGACCCCCTGCTGGCCCGTCTGCAGCTCCTGGAGCAGAAGCCAAAAGCAGCCACCAGCTTAGAGACAGCAGCTGAACCCAGAGCCCCCCAAGCAGGAGACAGGCAGTGCAGGCATTGCAGGCCCCTTTGCAACCCTGCAAGGAGTCAAAAGCCAAGTAGGTGGGGCTGGGGGGAAGGCTTCAGAGATAAAGAAGGCAGAGGCAATTGTCTCTAAGCCAGATCAGGAGCAGCTATGGAGAGAAAAATCTCTTGGAGCCTGGAAGGTGGTTTCATCAGTCAAGGCTGTCCTAAGGCAAACTATGCAACAGTAGCCTCCCTTCTTCCCCCGTCTCCCTTCTGCCCCTCATCCAGCACACTGCTCTGTGAGCACTGGGCACTTGCCATCCTGCCATCCTCCCCCAGGGGAAGGCAGGTACAGAGGAACAAGGGAGCAGGTGCCAGAAGGCCTGAATTCAAATCTAGCTGCTCCCTATTCTAGCCGTGTGACCTTCGGCAAAGATCTGAACCTCTGAGACTCTGCTCCTGCTTCTGTAAAAATGGGATGGATAAGAGCTATGTCATAGGACTGTAGAAATGATTGAATGAGAAAATGAAGGTAAAGATCTTAGGTCTTATTGAGTTTGCCATGGATACTCCTCATGGGACAAGAGAGAGAGAAGGGGGAAGTGGGGAAGTACTGGGGACTGTTGAATGATCCAAATGGGATGCCTGATGAATGGGGCAGCTCCCAAATGTTTCAACCCTGTTTCCAAGGTAGAGGCTGGGCCAGAGAGTGGGTGGTGAGGGCCTGAGGTAGGGAAAGTTATTCTGTATTGAAAAGAAAACAGAGAGAGGAAGTCAGATCTCACGACGTGCGTCAGCCAAGAGCCTGGGCAGACAGTGTCTCCTCCAGAGGAAGGGCTGGTACTCCGGCACTCTGTTGCCCTCTGGCAGCCGCTAAGCTCCTGTTTTCCTCATTAAGCTGTCCGCAACCTGGCCCCCTTTACACTGCTGATAAGGGCCAGAAACAATTCAGAATCCCCAACAGATGGCATCTGTGGTTTTCAATGTCACCTCCCGATGGAATCAACAAGGTGGGGCTGAACTCAGGTGGACTGCAGGGAGTCAGGGCAGAAAAGCACCAACTCTGAGGGGTGGAGTCCAGGATTCGGGAACCTCACTGTGTGCCCAGCGATGTTAGGCCTCGTGGACACATAAAATGGTAAAAGCTAGTATTTGTTGGGCACACACTATTTGCCAAGCTTTGGTGCTAAGCACATAAGTTTATTATCTCATTTAATCCCCATAACAACCCTACGAAGTTGATAGCATTATTATTCCTATTTTATAGGCAGAGGAACTGAGGCAGAGTGCCTCAGGGGCTTATAATTTGTTGGGGAGTCAAGAACACAGGTTAATACCCCCAAGGGAGAAGAGAACAAAATCTGAGCTGTTTCTCACCATCCCAAGTGGCCCTGTCCTCAGTTTTGCATCACTGTCTGCCTCAGTTTCCCCAGATTTCCAGCTACCACCATGGTGGCTGAGCTCAAAAGGCAGCCTCCAATCACTGTTCTAGGGATGGACATGCTCATTTTCCCAAAGTTCAGCCAAGGCAGAATTTGTCAAAATAAGTTTATCTAGGAAACGTAGAAGAGGATGGAACAAAATAATATAAAAAGCAAATGCTCTGGGAAGAGAGCAGCTTATGAGGCAGTTTTCATGTCCCAAGATGAGGAAAATAATAATAGCTATTGGTGTGCCAAGTATCAGACACTGTGCTATGCTCTTGATTATGTTATTTTGTTTAATCCTCAAGGGGACTGAAGTATTACACAAGCATTATTGTCCTCATTTCACAAATAAGGGAACAGATGTTCAGAGAGGTTAAGCAACTTGTCCAGGTCACATAGCTTGTAAGGAATAGAGAGCTAGGAGTCAAGCTTGCCTTTGCTTTTAACAATTTAAATAAAGGAGACAGGCATGGTGAGTACAACCAGCTGACAACCAGACAGGCCTCTTGCTTCCAGGCCCCATTTAGGTCTAATGGAGAGATTTGACTGAACAACCTAGATCCTAAATGGCAGGTTTTCAGGATAGCTCTGCTGATCCTCCATCTGACAGATTTTCAGATCTTGCTCAGGAAATAATCAGAACACTTTTCCTACTGGACAAGTCTGGAAAAAACCTTGGCAAATCTGTACCCTCCAGTTCTCCTAGTCCCCATTTACACAGCCCAAAACAAAACAAACAAACAAAACCCAAAACACCCCAATAAATTAAAACCCTGTATTTGCACTTGCACTTCATTTCAAATGAAGTACACGCCTCATGGCCAGGCACAGTGGCTCAGGCCTATAATCCCAGCACTTTGGGAGGCTGAGGTGGGTGGATCACGAGGTCAGGAGTCCAAGACCAGCCTGGCCAAGATGGTGAAACCCCGTCTCTACTAAAAATACAAAAAAATGTAGCCGGGTGTGGTGGTGGGCACTTGTAATCCCAGCTACCCGGGAGGCTGAGGCAGAGAACTGCTTGAACCCAGGAGGCGGAGGTTGCAGTGAGCTGAGATTGCACCACTAAATTCCAGCCTGGGCAACAAAGTGAGACTTTGTCTCAAAAAACAAACAAAAAACCAAAACAAAACAACAACAACAACAAACAAACAGAAAAAATACCAAATTACCCTCATAACATGCTACAATTTCCACACTATTTCACTGGTTAACTGATGGTTCTTCAAGCCCAGAGATAATGTGAGTAAGCCCGTAACCCAGTGCCTGGCAAGAGATGCGTTGTTGCTGCAATTATCATTAAGAGACCTCTTCCTGTGTTCACATCAGCAAGTCATCCCTGATACCCTTGGAATAAAGCAGTATGAAATTAAGTACTAATTGAATGGTTGATATCAATAGCTATTGATAAGTAATATTTATTAAGCAGCTACTGCATGCCAGATTTTAGTCTATATAGCTTTACACGCATTATCTCTTTTAATCTTTATAACAACCCCATGAGATAGGAATTATTGTTACTCCCTCTGTTTTAAAGACAATGAAACTAAGGCCTGGAAGTACTAAATAATTTGCTTATGGTCACACAACACCCAGATGGCGGGAGTGGGATTTGAACCCAGACAGCTAAGTTCAGAACCTGCACCAGTAACCTCTTTCCTCTCCTGCCTCCCGTGATGGGTTTGACAATAGGATACAGAGGGTCAAAGAAAGAAGATGTCCTTGTGTGCTGGGGGAGTTGGGGGAAGCTTCCTGGAGGGAATGGGCTCTACTGGACTTGAAAGAAGGACAAGAGAAGTGAAGCAAAACAGACATCAATTTTAGGCTGGAAGATGATCCTGAAGTCTCATGGGACCCAAAAATGGGACATCAGGAGAGCTCTCATCTTTGGAACATGAGGGATTGCTTATCCTCTGAAGCAGTGTCATTTGGCCAACTTGTCAGTCCAAGGAAGGACTCAGAGCTTATCAGGAACCTGTGGGGTCTGCACTGGGTCTGTAGCATCAAAATAGAGGAGGAGGACAGCAACAGATCTCCTGGGAGGCCCTGGGGATAGGGCCAGGATTAGATCAACTCCCTGCCATCTCCATACTGATCACAGGATTTGCTTAGAGGAAGTTGTGTTTGGTTTGCTGTGACCATGGCAGGGTTGCCCCAGCAGGTATGGATGCAGAGGGGCTCAAGGACCCACAAGTCTGTAGGAGTTCACAGAAATCTTAGAGAGAAGCTTCAACTTCACTTAAGCCACAAAAATATTGGGGGCTGGGGAAGAATTAAATTCCAGGCTAGGTAGGCTCCCAGCTGACACCATGTTAGAGTCTTCCCGCCCACCACCCGCCAAAGGCATGTCTGGGAGGGCCAAATGAGACATACCTGGCACGTGGCAAGTGCCCTTAAAGGTTCAGCAACTGGCTGGGCGTGGTGGCTCACACCTGTAATCCCAGCACTTTGGGAGGCTGAGGCAGGCACATCACCTGAGGTTACCTGAGTTTGAGACCAGCCTGGCCAACATAATGAAACCCCGTCTTTACTAAAAATACAAAATTTAGCTGGGTGTGGTGGTGCATGCCTGTAATACCAGCTGCTTGGTGGGAGGCTGAGGTGGGAAAATCACTTGAATTCGGGAGGTAGAGGTTGCAGTGAACCGAGATTGCACCACTGCACTCCAGCCTGGGCGACAGAGCAAGACTCTGCCAAAAAAAAAAAAAAAAAAAAAAAAAAAGATTCAGCAACCTTCTCCAGGCCCCATCTTTCAGAGCTCACTTGCTTGGCTGTGGATTACAAATCTGTCAACCAGACTCCCAGATGCCACCTGCTACCTGTTTGTGAACACGCACATCTTCCTGCACAGTCCCCTGTGTGAATATGTGTTACAAACCTTTCCAGGAAGCAGAGTTAAACTGAGAAGATTCTATCTGTTCGGGTCCCAGCGGCCCACAGTATGGCCTCCCTGGACTTAAAGTCTAGAATGACTTTGCATGGATTGAGATGCTATGAGGGTGGAGTGTTATGAGAGCTTGCCAAGCTGAGACTGGCTGGGGAGGGGACATCACAGGTACTCTTAGGAGGCCTGAGAATCCGAACAAAACGGTATCACTAGGCAGAATGTGGCCGAAGCTACTAGTTGGGTGCTGAGCATAGTTCGGCAATTTTGTGAGCATATTTGTAAGAACATATATGTTTATCAGTAGAAATAATGCACTGTCTGGGTTGACTGGCTCTGTTTGTGTACATTCTTGGATCCCAGAGAGCCCTGGGGAGCAATACATCACACAAGCATTTCTCGCCTGAGAGCTGGTCAGAGGGATCATTCCAGGGAAAGCTGGGCTGGTGTTGACCAGCTGAGGTCTGAGAGAGAACATGTGTGCACCCCAAGGCCAGGCCTGGCTCTCATAAGCACTGGTGGAATTTCTGAGTGCATCAGTTACTCTGCACCTGTCCCTTTACACTTAGCCCCAGCCTGGCCTGGCCCGGCCCAGCAAGTCTGCAGCCAGAGGTAGCCTGGAAAGAACTGGCCAACGCTTTCGAGAACCAGGCTGAGGCCAGAAGGCACGCAAAGCCTGAAGGATTCCTCTCTGCTCAGGATCCCATGTGAGAAGTCTGGGGCTCCTGTCACGTATGTTCTCAGCTGTCACCGCACAGCTCACTTTCTTTTATCATGGCCACGTGTGTGCATGTTTTGCTCTCCTACTGCACTTCAAGCCATTGTTACTCAATGTGTGGTCCGTGGGCCCATAGCATCAGCGTCAACCAGGAGCTTGTTAGAAACACAGAATCTCGGGGCCCATCACAGACATATCAGATCACAATCTGTATATTAACAAGAACCCCAGTGATTTGAATGCACATTAAAGTTTGAGAAACACTGCTACTTGAAAGCAGGAGTGAACCTTGTCACGGTGATCTTTGTACAACTAAGCTTTTGTATCCCAGATGCTTGGTGGTAATTAGGTGCTCAATAAATACATGTTTTAACATTTCATTTTGAAATAATTATAGACTTAGAGAAGAGTTGCAAAAATAGTACAGTGATGTATGTGAACCACTAATACTAACAGCTTACATAACCAGAGTACAATTACCAAATTAACATGGGAAATTAACATAGGTATCATTAACCAAACTACAGGGCCTTTTCTAATTTCCTCTGTTTTCCCCATGTCCCTTTTCTGCTCTCAGATTGCTCAGGGTATTTAGTTGTTGGGTCTCCTTAGTCTCCTCTAATCTATGGCAGCTCTCTAGTCTATCCTTGTCTTTCATGACCTTGACTCTTTTAATGAGTACCCCTCAGTTATTTTGTAGTCTATCTTTCAACTTGGGTATGTCTGCTGTCTTCTTGTGATTAGATTGAGGTTATACACAGAATAGAGGTGATGCTGTGACCTCAAGGCATCGTCTCAGGGGATACGTAATGTCAACACATCTTATTCCTGGTGATGTTAATCTTGATCTCTTAGTTAAGCTCATATATGCCGGATTTCTCCACTGTTTCTCCACTCTAAAATTACTACTATACTTCCCTCTTTAGTTAATAAGTATATTGGGGAAGATAATTTGAGACTGTGCAAATATCCTGATTCTCCCACTGATTTGAGTGGCCATCACTGGTGGATCTTATCAACAACTTTGTTTTTGTTTTTGATTTTTGTTCCTGGCCGACAATTATTACTATTGTGTCTGCATAGTGGTGATTCTGTATTTCCCTCCTTTCTTCTATATTTATTAATTGAAATTCTTCTGCCAAGAAGAGTTGTTACTTCTTCCCCATTTTTTTAATTCAATTGCTTATTTCAGTAGGGGCTCTCGGGTATTTATTGTATCCCAGGGGTTATAATTCAATGTTATCATTATTTTATGTTCTTGCTTAAACCGTTCCAGCCACTGGGAGCTCCTACAAGTTGGCTGTTGTGTCCTTTCAACATGCCCATCTTTTTCCGAGTACTTCCTTATTCCCTGGTACCACAAGATGTTTCAGACTCATCTTGTTCCATATAGTTTGAATGAATGAATGGGAGAATGAAAAAATAGGCTGTATGTATAAACTCAGCCTTCCTGTGATTCCCCAACTAAGAAGCTGTATTTAATTCAATTCTCAGCTGGGAGGAAGAACGCATGTTCAGATGCCCCATAGAATCACTCACCTCCAGCTGGACATGGTGGCTCACACCTGTAATCCCAGCAGTTTGAGAGGCTGAGGCTGGTGGATCACCTGAGGTCAGGAGTTCAAGACCGGCCTTGCCAACATAGTGAAACCCCATCTCTACTAAAAATAAATAAATAAATAAATAAATAAATAAATAAATAAATAAATAGCTGGGTGTGGTGGCACGCACCTGTAGTCCCAGCTACTCAGGAGGCTGAGGCAGGAGAATCGCTTGAGCCCTGGAGGCGGAGGTTGCAGTGAGCCAAGATCATGCCATTGCACTCCAACCCAGGCGACAGAGCAAGACCCTGTATTTAAAAAATAATAACAAACAAAAAGCAACAGAATCACTCACCTCCACTGTTCTGTGAGCCTCGAGTAAAGCTGGAGAAACTTTTAACCTAAAGACAAAGGAAACTGTATCCGTGGAAACTGTAGGCTGGAAAATTGGCTTGCCCTGAAAGTCCGACTCATGGACTTGGCACATCTACCAAGCAGTATGAGATAGTGCTTAAGAGTGGCTGTGCTGGAGCCAGATGCCTTGGTCTAAATCCTTATAGCCACTTACTGTGTAACCACCTCATGCCTCAGTTTCCCCATCAGTAAAGTGCAGGTGATAATGACAGTCCTGGCCATGGATTTGTGTAATTACTGAGTTTACATATACAGATTGCTTAGAACAGCCCGTGATACATGTAAACATTTAATAACCATTAGTTAGGAGTCTGATATTTCCAGCAATTAGCTCATCCTGCTAAATTCATTCAGCAATTGCTTATTAAGCATCTACATCATAGTACACACTGTTGCGAGTCCTGGGATCTCAGCAGTGAACGAAAGTGACATCACTGCTCTCACAGAGCATACATTCTTCTGGAATAAAAATAATCTAACCAAATAACAGACTACACTACTTTTTTTTTTTTTTTTGAGATGGAGTCTCACTCTGTTGCCCAGGATGGAGTGCAGTGGTGCCATCTTGGCTCACTGCAAGCTCTACCTCCTGGGTTCACACCATTCTCCTGCCTCAGCCTCCCAAGTAGCTGGGACTACATGTGCCCGCCACCATGCCCAGCTAATTTTTTTTTTGTATTTTTAGTAGAGAAGGGGTTTCACCATGTTAGCCAGGATGGTCTCAATCTCCTGACCTCATGATCCGCCCGCCTCAGCCTCCCAAAGTGCTGGGATTACAGGCGTGAGCCAATGTGCCCGGCCACAGACTACACTACTTTTTAAGACAGTAGAGGGGGACAGGAACAGCTGCATTTTTGTCATCTAGCAAAACCATTCACCCCTCTTGACATAAGTATCCATTTTCCTCTGTAGACCCACACCCTGGTATCATGTGATTCATGCGTTGGTCAATCAAATAACTGTATTGCCCTAGCCACAGTGATTGGTTCAGGCAAGGACACAAGACCTAATCAGCACTAGAGAGAATTTTGCAGCTGGGGCTTTTCATGGTAAAACCAGTGAGCTAAGAGCTTGCGGCTTGAGAATAAAGCCAACACCCCTGAAGGCAGAGCCGGGAGTGGAGGGGAAAGTCCTGATGGGTTGTACAAGCCCCTGAATCAAGAATGGGCCGAAGTTCATCCCAGGCTTGACTTCTCAGTTACACGAGACAGTCAATTCCCTTCTACTACTTGTTACTGAGAGAGTTCTGAGCTTACTTCAATCCCTCAGAAAGCTGACAGCTGAGCAGGAAGCAGGAGCTTGTCCTGATTCCCCCACTGTGCCTGTGTCCTGAGCCCCTGGTCTTGCTCTAGTACTTCTCAGTTTCCTGCCTTCCCCTAACATACACACCACCACCACCCCACTGCCCACCTCGGGCCACCCCCTTACTTCCTCTCAAGGAGATTCCTGCCCCGTCCTCCACAGAGCTGGAGCCTCTCCCTCTTGCTCACCTGGCTTCCCTCCCATATTCTTCTGCCCAAGCCTCTTCTTCCCAGGCAAGTCTGGCTGAATCCCCAGCTCTGTTTCGCCTCGTGGTCTGGCCTCCTCCTCTCCAGAGGCCTGAGGGGCTGATGCGTGGTTTCAGATGGCCAGCAGAATGCTACCCCCAACCTCAGGAGTCCCACCGAAGCTCACACTGCGGAGGGTCCCCTTTTTATTACCTAATCTCCTGCCTCTCATGTCTTCCTGTAACTCCAGGCCTGAGCGGCTTCAGGGCAGAATCAAGGATGTTCGAGTTCTCCCACCTCTATGTTCTGTTAGAGAGCCATGTCCTCAGAGCAGACGGGGAGACACCAAACTCCCACTTCCTTTGGGAAGATTTCCATTTCTCTTTTCCAAAATCCTAGGGAATGTACTGCGTAAGCCCCTTAATTATACATTGACTCACGACGTTGCTTGTGCTGTTCTCTCCCCTCAAGCTATCTTTCATTCACTAGAAGATTTGCCTCTTATTTGCTGTAAGCCTAGCACAGTGCTCAATAAACACTGAATGAAGAAATGAGTGGTTGAATAAATGAATTATTGAATGGGTGCTGAAAATAGTAAGTGAATGAATAAATAAATGAATAGACTAATGAGGAGAGGCAGTGAAAGGCCTGGGACGGAGTGGCAGAAGGGTCAAAAAAACCCTGGAGGGGATAGGTCCTGAGCCCAGGGAAGGGAAGATGGGGCACTCACCATGGCAGAATGGCAGGAGGGAGACAGATGTTGTCAAGTCTCTAAGCCTTGTGTTTACATAAAAAACTGGAGTTTGGGCCTGGGTTGTTTTATCGAACCCATTTATTAGCTTTTTAAAACTTTTTTTAAAAACACATGGCCGGGTGCGGTGGCTCACGCCTGTAATCCCAGCACTTTGGGAGGCCAAGGGGGGCGTGGATCACTTGAGGTCAGGAGTTTGAGACCAGCCTGGCCAAGATAGTAAAACCCCATCTCTACCAAAAATATAAAAAATTACCCGGGTATGGTGGCACGTGCCTGTAATCCCGGCTACTCGGCAGGCTGAGGCAGAAGAATTGCTTGAACCCAGGAGGTAGAGGTTGCAGTGAGCCGAGATCATGCCACTGCACTCCAGCCTGGGTGACAGAGCGAGACTCAGTCTAAGAAAAAAAAAAAAACATAAACATAAAAAAAACATACAAACGCCATTTTCAAGGCCATTGCACATCTTGCAATGACATGGCCGGTTGTGGCTCTGCCTCAGCACCCCACTTCCCAGATACAGAAAGGACCAATTGGCCATGCCGACAGCACGCCAGGTGCAGCCTCGGGGGAAGGACCTGGGAGATCCAGTGGACTTGGGGTGCCTCCCAAAGCCCTTCAGCAAGGACTCAAGTTCTCTGCAGGTCACAGGCAGAGGGCCTCTTTCTTCCCCCCCGACTCCCTTCTCCTTCCTCTGCCATTGACTCTCCATCCTGAATCCACACTGGCACTGCCGGGAGCCCTGTGGGGCCTCAGGCAACCCAAGAGAGCTGAAGATGACTCCATGGATTTGCAGCTACAAATGAAAAACCACGGTTTGTTTTGAATGGATTGTGGCTCTGGCGAGAAAGCCTTGGGATATAAATCCGCCATGAGTGGGGATGCAGATGGGAAGCAGATGTGGGGATGTTGAAAGCCCCCGCTCCAGCACCTAAGGCCCACCTTGGAGAACACATGCCTTCCACTGAAAAATGCAGATGGGTGAGGCAGCTCAGACACTGTGGGAGCCCCAGCTAAGAGCCCAGTCTGCTCAGCTGTCACCTTCTCCTTCTTCCCCCTCCCTCTAGGCAATGAAGCACTCCTTCTGCATTCTTGGAGGATATGCCTCCTCTCCCTGCCTCCCTCTCCCTCTGTCTTCATACCACTGCCTGTCTTACTGTCTCTTGCTCTCAGGCGTTCTCTGACTCCATGTCTGTCCTTGGTCTGTGCCTCTCCCTCCCTCCCTCTTCCTGGCTGCTGCCCAAGGCCAGTGCCCCTACCCTTCATGCTTGGATAAGTCTGCCAATCAGCTTGAACCCCTGGGGTGAAGAACGGGAAGAACAGTCCAAGGGCAGACGGCAGCCCCAGTTTCATGAAGGAAGGCGATTTCAAGCCAGAGACGCCTGGGCAGGATGAGGCCAAGAACTGCTCACTTACCCACAGGGCTGGATATTTAGTTTGAGTTGGGGAGGGCAGGTGGCAACCAGCCTGGAGCTCCCAAGCCTGCAAGAGCAGCTCTGCCCCAGCCCCTACCCAGCTTTAGGTTTCATTCAGTGTGGCCTTCTCTCCTTCCTGGCCTGGAGCCAGCCCTCTCCAGCACCAGGAAGAGGCAGCACAGCTGGGTACCATGGTCACAATTACCCCCAAGGACACGGGCCCAGGTGAAGGCTAGGCAGGACAGGATGGAGCATGTTTTGTATCCTCCACTGCTCTCCAGAGAGCTAGGAGCAGCCCTTCCCTTTCAACCCCTGCAGGGCCCCAGACAGCCTCCAAAGGCAAATGTGCTTTTTCTTTGGCTTGTATACAGTCTAAATACTTTATCCAATTGATACGGGCTCTATATCCAGTTGTCTTATTTTCCTTTTTGGGTCTGTCCACAGCTCTCTGAGCTCTCAGGCAGGATTTTGGGACCATTTGTGGCACATTCCAGAGGCCACTAGCAATCTCACAAATTAATTCTAAACTTGTACACAGGCTGTGAATGCTATACAACTTTTAGGGGGGACTTGAGGGACACACCAAAAACCATCCAAAAATAGAATGTTGCCATTCCCAGGAGACTGGAATCATTTAGAGGACAATTTCACAAACGCTTCTGCCGATATGGAGGAGGCTGCTGTCGGAATGCAGCTGGGACCCATCTCCCTGGCACTCTCGAGTCTCTGCTTAGGGGCTTTCCCTTCCCAGCAGGCACTCATTCCAGGATCCACAGGCACCTTGCGGTCCCCAGCACTGGGCGGCACTGAGGGGGTATCACTGTGGCACCATACCGTAAGGCATGATCCCAGGAGGCTTGGCATTTAGTGTGGAGGCTAAGCTCTTGGTTCTAGGTTCCTTTATGCATTGAGCATCTTTTTCACACATGCCTGAGGCTGTGTTAGGCAGTGAGTGTGAATGGCGAACAAACCAGACAGGGAGCCTCTGCTCGTGCAAGAAACAAACAGGGTGCTGAGACCTGGAATAACTTTCAGGAAGACTGAAGAGAGCAGCTTGCAGCTGAGGGAGATCTCAGGCAGGTCTCAGCAGCTGCCTCTGGGCTTCAGTTTCTTCACCCATAAAATGGGGGTGCTAACAGCGCTACTTTGAGGATTCAATGAGATAATCAATACAGGATAACTCCTAGTCATAACAAGCCACTAATGAGGACCATACAACCAAAGCAGTTAGGAGCAGACAGGGCAGGAGGATAGCAGACGCAGTCAGCACTCTGCCCCCATGTCTTCCGATCCCCGTATCACTTCAGGACACATGGTTCACTCCCAACAGCCCACACCTGCCTGTTTGTCAGCGGGCTGCCCTCAGGCTGTTGGAACCTGCTCTGGCCACCTGCATGGAGGGCAGGCCAGTGCCGGGGAGGTTTCGTCCCTGAGCCCCTACAGGCAGCCCCTGACCAGTGACTCTGAGTGTGGAGGTAGAAATATCTCCTCCATCTCCAGAGCTCTTGCAGACTGAGCCACTTACCCTTCGTGGCCTTTTGCTTGACATTGTATCCTTGCTTGGCCTCCTCTTTTCAGTCCCCTTCCCCTACTCCTGGGAAGATTTGGGAAAAAATCACCACTTTCACACAAACCCTTGTTTGCTGGGTCTGCTTTTGGGGAAAACATCTTAAGACACTGGGAAATGCTAAACATTAGGAGGTGTCTCCTAAGCTGTGTGACCCTGTCTTCCTGCAGAGCTGCCCTTGGGCCAAGGCAAGTCCTCCCAAGTTTCTAAGGAATTAGTCACAACAAGATAGCCTTCTAACTCAGGAAATCTGTGCTCCTTGTATTTGAACATGGCAAAGGCCAGCACCATAGGAACCCTGGATGGCCCCTGGCATGTAGTTCTCGGCTCTCAACTCAGGAAACTGTCTGAGCTGCTGCCTTCGGGACTGTGTACTCCCTCCAGGAACCTGCACAGGGAGGCCAAAAAAAGGGCATAAAATTCATATTTCATTATTGTTATTCTTCTCTATTCCTGGAAACTCCAGTCATCCTGAAGATGATTCTTTAGCGTCTCTCTTCCCATGAAATGGTGGACTGGTGAGGCAGGCACACAGGCGGCCAACAGGGCACATCCAAGATGCAGGTCTGGATTATTTGTCTAGACTTTATGATGTTTGTGGTATTTGCCAGCTTTTTAAGTTTTAGGATTTGTTGTGATTTTTTTTTCTTATTTCAAAATTTTCCTTCATATTTAATTTTGTATTCTTTTTTTTTTTTAAAGGGATCCCAAAATTATGTAAGCTTTAGGCAACAGAAGACCTCGGTAGGTTTTGAGCATCTGAGGACTGAGAGGCTTTTTCACAGACTAGCTTCTAGCTCCATACTTTTCTTTTTAATATACAGGGTCTCACTCTGTCACCCAGGCTGGAGTGCAGTGGCACAAGCACGGCTCACTGCAGCCTCAACCTCCCAAGCTCAGGTGACAGGTGATCCTCCCACCTCAGCCTCATGAGTAGCTGGGATTACAGGCGCCTGCCACCATGCCCGTCTAATTTTTGTATTTTTTGTAAAGACAGGGTTTCACCATGTTGCCCAGGCTGGTCTCGAACTCCTGGGCTCAAGTGATCTGCCCACCTCATCCTCCCAAAGTGCTGGGATTATAGGCGGGAGCCACCACACCCCACCTGGCTCCATACATTTCAACTCTTGTTTTTCCTCTCCTGTCTTCATACTTCTGGTCCCAATGTGACAGCTGCTGATCCTGCACCTGCCACTGTGTCAGGTGAATCAGCACAGTGTATGGTGGAATTATTTCTACAAGCCATTTATAATCAGGACAGTTAGCAATAAATATACTACATGACATACACATATTACATACAACCCAACGGAGTGTTTTCCCAACATAACCAAATGAATATATTACAGAAGGCCCAACTGAGTATATTCCCAACTCAAATTCCTTTAGTCATACTCCCAAATGCCACAGCCACCTCACCACAGCCTGACATGAAGGGAGGTGTGACAGATAAGAAATCAGGGTGGAGACTGACTACAGTTAAATTTTTTTGGGAGGAGACAGGGTCTTGCTATGTTGCCCAGGCTGGAGTGTGGTGGCTATTCACAGGTGTGATCATAGTGCACTACTCTCTCAAACTCCTGGGCTCAATTGATCCACCTGCCTCAGCCTCCCAAGTGCTGAGACTACAGGTGCATACCACCACACCTAGCTATAGTTTTTTGGTTTTTTTTGTTTGTTTGTTGTTTTTACCTTAGCAAATACTATGACTTTGAAAAAAAATATGACCTTGGAAGGAACTCCTGTAGGTGAGCGGCCCTCAATGTAAGCCTCATTAGCTTCTCAGGAAACTGGCCTCTGGTAGCTGGACTTGCTGTGAGGCTTGGGCACATAATATTTTAAGGTCTGTAAGTTTTAGCCACATCCTGGGTGTGTGTGTAAGGGAGGAGGGTGGCTCAGAATTGTTCTGGGCTCTTCATTTCCTCAGTGCCCTTCAACTCTGAATCCATGTCAGGAAGACCCTGGCAAGACTGAGGAGGGAGAGCAAATGGTAACTATGGCCATAACTGACAGTGAGTTTGGCCCCTGAGGTTGGACTTAGTAGCAGGAGACATCAGTATTCCAAAAGCCCAATCACTCCTCTTCTTTTGCATTTTCCTTTAGTTTAGTCCTTTAATTTTTTAAACCAAAGTTTCTTCTGAAAAAATTCTTGGTTTGTCTTTGCTGAATGGAAGAGCAAAGGAATTTAGCTATACCCAGGTCAGGCCAAGGTCAGTACCAGTGGACGTGGGAGAGGCAATGTTGGAATTAAGAGGATGTTTTGTGATTTACAAAACACTATTCACATCCATTGTCTCATTTAAGCTTTACGTGCCCTCTGTCGGGTACACTTGTACGTTGTTAGAATCACTATTTCCCAGTTAAAGTTAAGAGCGACTAAGCAATTTATGCAGAGTATACACCTAGGCAGTGGCAAGTCAGAAATTTGAACCCAGATCTTCCAAATTCAAATCCACAACATAACCAAAGACAACTGTGGATAGTGGTTTACTATTGCTAACTACTAATTTTTTTTTTTACACTTAGTGTCAGACACAGTACCGGCACTTTTCATGAGTTCTCTTATTTAATCCTCATATCCTCTGGCACGAGCCAGGTTTGAAGGATGGGGAGGTAGCAGGGAGGAAGGACGGGATGGGCCTCATTCCTTGCAGAGTGCACAGAACAAGTAAAGGAACAAAGGCAGGAACGAGCTGAGATGGTTCAGACCACGTTCACTGAGAGCTGGTGGTGCTTCACAGCCACCGTCCTTGGGCCTCTGGCCTGGTCAGGTAAGCCTCCTAGAACCTTTCATCTTAGTAAAAATGGGCTGTGCCCATGGAAAGTGGCCTCTGGCTCAGCCCTGGAAGCAACAGCTGGAAGAGGCCTGTGGCCTGTCACTATCCACACGGTTGCTTCTCTGCAAGACAGAGGCCCGCCACGGTGAGCTGGTCTGTCCAACCAGCTCCTGAGTTGCCAGTCAAATGATGGGCTCGGCCTCAGCGCTCAGCTTTGAAGTTTAATGGGGATCCTGGTAGCCCACAGGTCTTGGCCAGATCTTGCCCTTTAGTAAGTGTCTTCTTCCACTTCCCATCAGGGGCCTGGAGCCTGGCCAACTCCCTGAGGCATCTCTCCCAGCTTATTTGGATTGAGGGATGGAGGGTGCCTCCTGCCCTGGAGAGGGAGGTGGAGAATGGAACCCGTACCCTGATTGGGAAACAGAAACCTCAGGAGGCACCAGGCAGCAGGACTGGACAAAGAAGTGCCGGCCAGACTGGCTCCCTGGGGTCCCAGAAGTCACAGACCTACACAATGTCTCCCTGGGTTAGAGGATGAACAGAACACTAGCAACTCTCTTACCAGTGTTCTCCAGACTTGTCTGTCCTGCCCCTAACTCCACCTCCTTTGGGCTTGTGTGAGAAAACGTGTCAGAGCCAATTTGACACCTACATCCATCCACTGGACATGTAATCCTGCGCAACTTACTTCTCTGTACTTCAGTTTCCTCATCTGTAAAATGGGAATAATGATTGTCTTCAGCTTATAGAATGATGTGAATATTAAATGAATTAACACAGACAAAGTGCTTAGAATAGGGCCTGGCACAGAGTAAGCATGTATTAGATGTTGGCTGCTATTATTATTATTATTACAAGAGTTCTGAGATTACTCCCTTAGGCCCCAGTATTTTCCTCTGGGGTGTTTTTTGTCACTTTCTGTCACTTAAAATGGATTGAGATTTTAGGGCAAACACTGGAGAAGCTTCTCAATTCCTCCTAATGGGCCTGCTGAGGGTGCCGTGGCTGACTGTGGGCACCGGCTTGCTGCTCCTCTCCTGGCCGCCTCCAGTTCCAGGCTGCTTTTGCTGCTCTGCCTCACTGGTCTGTTCGGAGTATCCACAGCTGCTAGCTGGAGAAGCGGTGTTAATACCTCATTAGCACCTTCGGCTGCTCCTTGTGGGCACTAATCACTTCAGTTTGCTGCCTCTGGAGTGACTCTGTGCTGCCTTTGAAAAGCAGGCCATGTGATGGCGCAGAGACTTCTCCAGCTGGTCCCAATTCCCTCCCTCAGATTGTTACTTTTACCCAGGAAGTGAAACAACTTACTGTTTACATTTTGTATACACACACACACACAAATATAAAATTTTTTAATAGATCAAATCCTTACTCCTTCATCAGGACCTGAAACTAAACCTGTAAGCAGCTTCTTCCAGAGCCTTCCTCTTCTTCCCCAGTCCACACCTGCAGACCTGCCCCTCACCCGTGCCACCCGCGGTTTGTACAGGAATCAGACAAGAAGGCAAGGGCCCGAATTGGAAGCAGATGTTTGGGACGATGAGTGAGGTTGGGGTGGAGACAATAGGAAGGACGTAGACCCTGCTAGAGCTGCTTGTTGCTCTGACATACCGCCAAGGCTCAGAAAAATAGAGTGACTGTTCCTGGTTAAATACCCAGCTGTTACTCGTGCCAAACTTTCCTGGGCCTCAATCCTCAGAGTCTCTGGCTCTGCTTCCAAAGTTCTCCATATCCTCATGCCAACCACTATCTTGGCCCCTTCTTCCCACCATGCCAAGCCCCCAAGACCAGCCATACCCCTAAAAGTCAGGACTGGAGTTTTACTCACCCCGCCCCACAAAGCTAACCCACGATGCCATTTTTTTGAAGCCTAAACTCAAGATATGGTCTGACAAAAGAGGTTTTGCTGATTCTGGGTGTGAGAGTCTACTGGAAGACATGGCTTGGACGCCAAGACCACAGAGTTTTCAAGGTTTAGAGGGATGATAGGTCAGAATTGTTAAACCAGACCACTGCGGAGTATGCAGATGGGTGGCTGTTGACTGCACCCACTTTAGAACATCTCCAGAGCTGCACATGAGCCTGCCAGGAGCCAACAGCACATTTGTCTACCCTGACTGTGACATAAAATGCTAGATCTATAGGAGAACACCCAAGTTTAATTCCATTGTTTTGATTTTTCAAGGAGACACAAGTTGGCATCATCATGAACAAGGTTTCAGAGAAATCCCATTGGAAAGAGAGGCTAAATAACTGGTTTTCTAAAGGCGATGGCCTGACCCAACCCCTATCCAGAGCTGTGATCCCAGTCAGAAGCTTAGGACATCAACTTTAAGATCTGCCCAATCCCCAGGAGGAATAGATGTCAGCTGCTGTATACGACAGAGAGATAACCAGGGACTCTAGTTTCCTGGTTTAATATTAAGGGAAATTCCACTGAAGCTCAGTGTTTCCACCCATAGTGGTCACAACCAACCAATTTCATGGGTGTTCATAAAATTGATTTGCCTTTTCACGCCTCTGAGTTTATTGGAAATGGTATTCCTTTGACTTTCCTCTGCCACACTGATTATAACCATAGCACAAACCCTTTGATTGCTATTAGTGTTGGAGATACCTCCCTCTCCCCATCCACTCAAGATTCTAATTTCATTCACTGAGCTGCAGGCTATTGGCCAGTTCCCTATTGCCAAAGTCAACACTTCCGGTCTGCTTTGTCTGGGAGAGCAGATTAAAGGGAGAGTGGGCCCTAAGATTACCGAGTCCCCTTTCCCAGGCTGTCCCAGGACCTGCCCAAGTGATGGCCTATTTATGGCACAATAATGCGCTTGCTCCTTGGGTCTCTTGGTTTGGAATCTATCTTTACAAGGGTTCTTTCTTCTCTGAAAATCAACAGGGAGAGAGTAACTTCCCTCTCTGTAGGAAGCTAGACTAATTTCACTTGTAGCAACAGCAACTCTATAATATAGAAAGTCTCCAAATACATAAAGAAATGCTCCCCACCAAGTAAACAGGAGAAACTATTGAAGGGGGGGACAGTGGTGATGGGTTTGGGTGCCCAAGCTTCAGGAGAAGGAAACTCTAAGGAAAATAGATTGTTTATATCTGTCTCCCAAGATTGTAAGCTTCTCAGAGGCCAGGATCACATTCTACCTTGTGTGTCCCTAGCTCCCCGCACAGTGCTTGATACATAGGAAACGTCTGCTGAAATGCAGAGCTGCACAGAACTCAAGAAAAAAAAAGGGAGGCTACAAACCCAGGGATGGAACAGAAATACCTGACTGGGAGGGGAGGAGGTTAGGAAATGAAATGACAACTTAGAGCAGGATTGGACGTAGGAGACCAAGCACAAAATGATGACACACACATAATCTTCCTCTTGCACAATAACACAACATTTTGTTTTCAACATAACATAAAAGCCATCAAAGGCTCTCTAGCTGGCTTGCAAATACTCTGATATCCCTGACTCTGCTAATGGGCAAACAGAGGAATGTCTTGGCAACTCCCTCAAGTGGGAGTTCTGAGGAGAGAGGAAACATTGTTGGTCTGTAGAAGAAGGGAAGATTCAGAAAAACTCCTTTATGTGCAAATCCATAATGCAGGTGAAGTGGGGGGTTGCAGAAAGAGCGACTTCACTCAAGAGAGTTACAGAAACCCCCTCACCCTGGAAAAGATACTATGCTTATGGTTTCAACAGAATAGTTTCATAGTATCTTCACAGTCTTGTTTAGGGTGTGTGTTGTCTCCCTTTAACTCTGGCATTCTTGAAAATGTTTGCTTCCTCAGTGAGATATCCACCAGGAATTTGGCCTTTGCCAAATGGTGCTATTTCATATGAGCAGAGTTTAGAGACAAAAGATTTATTCCAATAAGTCTTTTTCTGCAGACTTAATTACCAGAGATAAACATCAGGGTATTATGTAACATATCTGACCTCATTATTTCATTTGATACCTATTGAGTTTCCACCAAAGCAAGGATACTAAAATTTCAGGGCCTTTTTCCTCAGTTATATCCTCAAGGGTGTCTTGTATTCTTTATATAGAATTCACTTAAACTTGGAAGTCACTTTGCTCATTAGTTGGTAGTCTAAGGAACTTTCTACATGCAAAAGATTCTAAAGCCATTACTAATAGCTGTATCTCTTAAAATCTCTCTACCCTGCATGAGTAGGGCCTTTTCCCATAAATCCCAAATCCCCAAGTGACTGATAGGTAAGCCAAGGTATAAAGTGTTAATCTGTCACACACAGCATCACCAAGTGAACAAGGCAGAGTCAGCGAGCACAGTGGCCCAGTGCCTGGGCTGTTTCTTAGTCTAAACTAATCTGCTAGAGACAAACCAGAAATGTGGAGTTTGGGCTTCGACACGAAACAGACCCATGTTCAAATACAGCTCTACCACTTGCCAGCTAAGAAACCTTGGCAGTTACTTATCCTCTGTGTGCCTCAACTGTGTTTTGTGTAAAATGGAGAAAACAAGACATACCTTGCAGGGTTGTTGTGAATGAGACAATAAATACTAAAGCTCCTAGCATATGGGAAGAGCTAAAAAAAAAAAAAAAAAATGGTAGCTATTATCATGATTCAGTAATCAGGTGAATTAAAGGAAGTCAAGGTTCCTACCACATGACATAGGATTGAGATACAGCTCCCTCAAATACCTCTTCCGTCCTTACAGGATCATGCAAAGGAGGAAGTCTCTTCTGACTTGGTGTCTTCTTCATGAATGTTTGGGCCAGGTGTCTTGAGTACTCATTCTCTCTGGCCTGCCTGGACACGGCAAGGTGAAAAACAGAGTCACCACCCCCTGGGAATTTCCACACCAGTCATCGACTCTAGCATTCTCAACTGCCCCCAGACCCATACAGCCTCCTGCTACAGAAACTACCAGGGCCCTAAGTCACAGTCAGCATGGTAACACACATACTATATATAGGAAAACTTTTTTCCCAAGAACTCTTAAGTTATTAGTCGATTTTCTTAATTGGTTAATAGCATCATTTTGCAGGTCAGGAAACTGATACTGAAAGAAGGTTGTCTTGCCCAAAGTTGAACCACGGGAGTTAAAAATAAAAATATGAACATTTGGCTGGGCCCCATGGCTCATGCTTGTGATCCCAGCACTTTGGGAGGCCGAGGCAGGCGGAATACCTGAGGTCAGGAGTTCAAGACCAGTCTGGCCAACATGGTGAAACCCCGTCTCTACTAAAAACACAAAAATTAGCCAGACATGGTGGCACACACCTGTTATTCGGGAGGCTGAGGCAGGAGAATAGCTTGAACCTGGGAGGTGAAGGTTACGGTGAGCTCTGAGATCATCCCACTGCACTCGAGCCTGGGTGACCAAGTGAGACTCTGTCTCAAAAAAAACAAACAACAAAACAAAAAAACAAAAAAAATTCAAGCCCATCAATTCATGGTTTTCTATCCTTTGAGGGTCCCATTTTGCAAACTTGATGCAAACGTGTCCAACGGTACCTTCTTCGAGAAAACACCCAGTGACACGAGATGCCTATCCTGCAAGGAGTGCTGGAGGCCCAGGGCCCCTAGAGTCAGAAACATAGGATACAAGTAAATTCCTGTCAACAGGATGGACCATCTGGTAGAGGACATAATGAGGTTTATAAAGAAGCCTCCTCTCCTACCTCCAAGACTGACTTCTTCCTAGAGTCATACCTAAAAGATGAACTCCTAAAACCTCACTTGGAAATTTGCCTGGTTTGCCAGGTGAACCTGGTCTCAGGCATTCACAGCCATCACAGACTACAAAAGCCATGGTGGCCTGCTTATTATTGGGTATTCCAGGGAAATAGCAACACAGGCCTCATCTGGATAAACTATCCATCATCTCCCTGAAGGGAGGCTACAAGGGGAACTAGATGGGGAGTCCCACTCTGTTCTTGCAAGGTGACTGGATGCTATGATTCTGTGCTGGTGTGTCTGATCCCTATCCCTAGAGGTACCAACATTGCCACTATCCCATGGTTAAGAAGCTGCTGCTGGCTAGTATTGACAAGTCAGGGCTATATCGACAGCCTGAACAACTGTGCTAAAGCCACCTCTGATACCATATTGAAAAACCTACAGGTATCATTCCTTGACTTCTGGAAAGAGACTGTGTTCTCCACATCTCCTTCCAGGAATTAACTGCCCATCTTATAGAGACCACACCTGAATTCACTCCAGAGAACCAGGTCCCTGCTGTGGCTATCATAAAATGTCCTTATATGAGCAAAATTAAAGCAAACTAAATCCGGGAGGGGAAAAAAGGGATATTTATAACAAGGTATATCTGAACTCTAGGCAGCACCACTCTATTGGATACAAACCAAGGTCAACATGACCTGCAGATCTCTAAATCCACCCTCCTGTACTCCAAATAAAAGCTAAAAAACAAAAACAAAAAAAACTAAGCTCACCAATAACTTTGGGATAGCTGTTAGGTGGTGTGCAGACTCAGTATTCTGAGTTAGAAATACTAGCCTATTCCACAATTTTTGAGACATTTTAGTGCTGAGTCATTTTTAATACTACTACACATACATGATACTCAAGAATTTCCTGCTGACCAGCCTACAAAAACTGCTTAGGGTTTAGGGTATAAAAACAAAGGAGATCCAATTTGGAGTATCTGGAGGAAAAATCTTTACAGAAATAAGATACTTTATAGTCTTAGAATAATTAATCAGATTCAGCATCAGGAATCCAGACTAGATTCTCACAGGGCAATTATGGCCTCAGAAGACTTTTCAAACCAATTATGAGGTCTAGAAATTACTATGGAGAAACTGACCTTGGTTAGCTTCTTATCATGACACACGTGGGCTCTTTTTGCCCCTCTCCACTTTTTTTTTTTTTTTTTTTTTGAGACACAGTCTTGCTCTGTCGTCCAAGCTAGAGTGCAGTGGCGCGATCTCGGCTCACTGAAAGCTCCACCTCCTGGGTTCACGCCATTCTCCTGCCTCAGCCTCCCGAGTAGCTGGGACTACAGATGCCCGCCACCACGCCCATTTAATTTTTTGTATTTTTAGTACAGATGGGGTTTCACCGTGTTACCCAGGATGGTCTTGATCTCCTGACCTCATCATCCGCCCGCCTCGGCCTCCCAAAGTGCTGGGATTACAGGCGTGAGCCACCGCACCCAGCCGCCCCTCCCCACTATTAACGTGAGGACAGGCTGTTTGAAAAGGGGCCTGGTGAAATAATGATCATAAGTCAGGACAGTAGTTACCTTTAGTGGGATGGGACGAGAGTGTGCTCTGCAGTGCTGCAATGTTTTATTTCTTGACCTGGATGGTGGCTATTTGTGCATTTCCTATTACTCATAAGTTACACATGTTAATACCTTTTTTATACATACTGTGTCTCAAAATAAAAGAAAAAAGGAATTTTAGTATCCTGTAATACTTTTACTATTCCACATTATCTGGAACTGGTTTATTATGCTTGAAGGTCTATGTGAAGCCAGAGTAGAGGGAAGGAGCCCTTAGGGTTCAAGCCACTTGCTGGAGAACCTCGCTGTGGTCCTGACAGCGAAAACTGGGGCTGGAGAGAGGTTTCAAAGCTCTATCTACAATAGCTCAGAGGCAATAGTATACAAGAAGCTGAAGCTAGTATTTATGGAGTCATAAGAATGACTTGATAGGCTAAAATCACTCATTGGATCAATGTTCATAGTGACCTATTCAAAGCCACAACAGCAAGTGTATAAGATACAAATAACCTTAAAATGTACAGTTAGAAGGACAGAATTTTAAGACCTTTTTTGTTTTTAAGAGACAGTGTCTTAGCCAGGCACGGTGGCTCATGCTAATCCCAGCACTTTTAGAGGTGGGTGGATCACTTGAGCCCAGGAGTTCAAGATCAGCCTGGGAAACATGCCAAAACCCCACCTTTTCAAAAAAAAAGAGAAAGAGAGACAGTGTCTCGCTCTGTCACCCAGGCTAGAGCACAGTGACACAGGCATAGCTCACTGCAGCCTCGAACTCCTGGGTTCAAGTGACCCTCCTGCCTTGCAGTGTTCCAAAGTACTGGGATTATACATATGAGTCACTGTGCCTGGCCCTTTAAGATATCTCATATCACTCAGGAGCTTGATGAGGTAAGAGGAGAATGCACTGTTTGGGGTGGGGGCAAGGATCTGTTTTGTTTTGTTTTTAAATTCAAAAGGGAATTTTTTTAACATTTTCCAGATTGGGAACCAATATACAAGACATCATAATTACTTTCCCAAGAAAGTCAGGGTCCTTAATACTACTCCTTCTAGGCCCAAATCAGAGGTCTGTTTTTTTTCTTCTCTTCCAAGCTTACCTTTGTAAGCTGAAAAGAATCGGTAAGACTTGCCGCCAACAAACTTCTTAGGAGCAGTATTTTTGTTTGCCACTCCCAAACCCCTTGTGGGTGAGGGAGATGTTGGGAGACAAATGTGTGCTTAAATATGAAAATCAAAAGGCTATTTATCAAAGTGTTAACGGTGATTACCTCTGGATAGCAACTTACCTATTTCCCTTGTTCTTTTTCTTATTTCCAAATTTTCTATATTGAATTTCTAGGTAGTAAAACAACAATGAATTATTGTTTAAAGACTGATTAACCGGTTCCTTCTTCAGAAACTGAGCATAAACACTTGTCCTCGTCTCCCCATGGCTGAGACAGTGGCCCTGCCTGGCACCATGGACAGCAATCAGGGAAGGGTGAAAGGGCAAGAGTGGGACAGGCCAGGACTCCAGGTGTACACTCTACCCCGAGCCGACCACTTCAGGAGGAATTCCTGGGGAAATGCAAAATCATTTCCAAATCTTTTCCTTCCCCACCTTCCAGTCAAGCCATGAATCTCCATTTAAAGCAGCCACTCACTCCTTAGTTCTTTTAAACATTTATTTATCTACTGTACAAAATATTTACATCATCAGCTGCAACTGCCTGGCCCTTTCACCTGGCCTGACGAATCTGCAGCAGGGCTTGGTCTCTGCCAATTTTCCAGAAACATGCTGACACTCTCCTAGGTATTCACTCATGTCTGGTCTCCTTCAAAGACGCTAAAAGGCCAGAAGGGTAGCTGGCCCCCCAAGTACCTGGGTCACAAGGACATAAATAAAAGAACTGGCCAAAATAAGAAACACTAATAGAAAATTGCCCAAGAAATAACACTCTCTCATCTCTTTGACATATTGTACCTTTTCCCCACACTGGCTAGTATGAAAGCAGGATTAGAAAAAAAAAAAACAAAACAGTAAAAGAAAAGGCCCAAGAGAGCAAAGATACTTTTGAATAGAGTTCAGACAGAGAATAGAAAACCACAATAGTGCCAAAGGGTTTTGTTTAACAAAGACTGGTGCCTAAGGACCACCACAGGGATGCAGCTTCCCTGGTTGGGTTGCAATGGTGCCTAAGATGCTCTGAAAAAGTGCTATGACTAGAGCTTAAAATGACAGGTCTAGCCAAGACAATCAACTCAATCTCCAGGATCAGTCTCTGGAAGGCTGCCGGAGGGGAGAATTCAGAAAAGCGACTGCCAAAAACAGCAGAACCAGTCCACGTGCCCCCAGCTGGAAACCCCTTTCTGGGCCCAAGGGGCAGCATTATGTTTCCCAGGGTGGTGATAAACCTTCCGGTACATATCCCATGGGAAAACATTTGGGCAAGCAGCAGCACCTTGTCCTGGTCCCTGAGGAGAGCAGTGACCATGTGGCATGGAGGATCCTGGGGTATAGAGACCCTGATGCTGGATCCCGGACCCCAAGGATGAGTGAGGTCAGCACCCATGTGCCAAGAAAGGACAAATGATGACTGCGAAAGACTGAGGTCAGGCAGGAACTGTAGCAGCTCAGGAGGGCTTGTTCCTCATGATCCCTGCGAACAGGAGGGCTCAGACATGCTTCCAGGAGGCCAAGGCATTGCCAAAGTCCTGCCTTGTTTCAGGACTCTGTGTACTTGCTGGTTTTGGCAATAAAGATGGCTTGTAATATTCTCAGAGTTGACTGCCCCATTGGGAATGGTAGCTTGCAGCAAAGCCTTCTTAAAAACACAAATTTGGGAAGTCAATGAGATTTTGAATCTTGAAATTATTTTCAATCAAACAGTAATGAAAAAGGATGTTGTCATCTTCCAAGATACAGCAGCAGGTACTCTTCAATCATCATTCAACAGTGAACCTAATAAGCTTCCTCCCTCCTTAGTTCTCCTTCCTGATAACTGATGGAGCAAAGGGGAGTACAGGGGTTGGCAGGTGTTTACTGTGTAACATATCACCTCCATGTTCATCCCTAGTGTCCTGACGCCAAGGACCTGTGATAAGCACGTAAACTCCTAGTCCCTGTTCCTTTGTCTTAGTGCTGCCAGAGAACACCAAGCAGAGAGAGAATCAGGGATTGCTGGCATACTATTCTTACTGTTCTAATCTTTTGCTACAAAATTTTCTTCAGTAGAATGCTAAAGGATCCCCAGCTTTTAGCAGACTACATAATGGGGAAGTCAGTGGCCCAAGCCGGCCATACTTCAGTGCCAATAACAAACTCAGGGAAAAGCATCAGTAGTCTCCAAGCCAGCCATATGCCTAGGCATGCCCCACTCTGGAGGCTACAGCTCAGCTATCCTTCATATTCTTCAGTCTATCTGCTTTTCTCACTGGCTACAATTCAAGAAAAAGCTTACAGAGTTCTTCTTTGTGGATTAATAATCATTTCCAGAAATGCCCGAAGGGAAAGTGCTTTTTCCAGTTCTGACACCACAAAAAAATATTCTTTTTAGCAGTCCTTAGAGGCAGTCCAGTGCCATGGCCTATGCCTACCATTGTGCAGCGGGACTGCTCCTATGGGCCACCTCCTATCTGTCCCCCTCTCTCCTGGCTCCTGATGAGAAGAGGCAATCACCCCACCCATGAGAAGGACTCAAGTACCAGTCTGGTCAAGTAGTGAGGGCCAAAGAGGGTGTCTCCAAGGAGTATCAGCAGAGGGAGTTTTGGAGCACAGTGTGGATTTAAGGGTCTCCACACCAGTTTCCCAACAGGGCTGAGCCCCGTGTGCCATCTCCCTCAGCTACTGAGATCTTCAAAGGACCAAATAAATGATAGCAGCATGGTCCTCTTCTCATGACAGAATGAAGAGCTCAGCTTACATACCATGCCAAAGTGGCCTGTGGTAGATATGGGCAGGGAGCAGGTGAGGTAAAGACAAGGCTTGTAGGTGACAAAATCCTCCAGACACAGGGGAGCATGCGGCATCTTCTGGCTGATGGTTATGTGTGTTAGGATCAGTGGTTATGATGTCTGTAACTTGCGCCCAGAAGCTCCAGAGAGCATGGGAGCCAACTGGATGACAGGAGAGTGGTCAGAGCATGCCAAAGCCCTCGCAACCCTCGCTGATGGCCAGCTGCAGCATCCTGTGCACCTCTTCATAGGAGTCATATGTAGGGAGGCACAGCTGGTTAAAACTGGAAGGGCAAGGGAGAAGTGATTAACTCATACCACCAAAAACACTGGGCATGCATCAGGCGGGCAGATACCTACCATGTGTGTGCAGTAGGCAGCGTGCTATGGGTCGGAGCGGCAATAATCTGAAATGAGGGACAGAGGGCGGCAAAGCCTCCAGGTGGTAGCTGAGAGGAGCCTGTTGTGAACTGAAGTAGCCGAGCCAACTCCTCCTGGGTCAGACTGGAAACCACAGTCCAAAACCACCTCATGACCTGGCAGGGAGAGCACAAGGCTGGGATCACACACAGTAAACAAGCTAGGATTAGATCCCTGGGGAAGGAACAAGATACACTAAAGTGGGGCTGTGCCCCAGTTACCGTTCTATGAGGACACAGGGTAGGAACAGTTTGACAAGCACTTCAAGAATTTACACTGTCACATGATTAGGAGGGTAGTCACTGACTGTTGGTTCTCTTTCTTCGCCATCTCCAATTTACTACTCCTGTGGCAGTCAGCATGACAGCCCTTAGGGATCAGGGCTCCCTTCTGCCTGGACAACCACCTATCTTTCCCCATGCATCATTTTTTTTTCCCAGAAAACATATCAACTGCTTTGACTCCCCTACTTTTTTCTTCTTTTCCTTTCTTTTTTTTTTTTTTTTTTTTTTTGAGAAAGAGTCTCGCTCTGTCACCCAGGCTGCAGTGCAGTGGCGTGATCTCAGCTCACTCCACCTCCTGGGTTCAAGCGATTCTCCTGCCTCAGCCTCTCGAGTAGCTGGGACTACAGGCATGTGCCACCACACCCAGCTAATTTTTTTTTTTTTTTTTTTGTATTGTTAGTAGAGTCGGGCTTTCACCATGTGGCCAGGCTGGTCTCAAAACTCCTGACTTTGTGATCCGCCTGCCTCAGCCTCCCAAAGTGCTGGGATTACAGGCATGAGCCACTGCGCCCGGCCTCCTCTACTTTTTTCTTCTGAAACTTTTTCCTTATAACATGGCACAAATCCAACTGAAAGAAGTTTGGTCCATTTACCTTTTCTCTGAAATGCCATGAGCCACCAACAACTACTGCATGGGCTTTGAAGTCAGACACACTGATGTCTCCAGTCCCACACATCAGCAGCTGGAAAAAGATGGTAAGGTGTTACTATGACAGTCAGAGAGACAAAGACCCAATATAAGGTCAAAATTACCTAAGTTAACAGGCAAAATGTAGAAGAAAACATTACCAGGAAAAAGACAGAAGGTGAGGTCATAATGCCAGAATACTGCTTTAGGAAAATCAATTACATACAACAGGGCAATAGTTGCTAACCAGTGGGTAAAAAAAAGATTCACATGGCTTTTAAAATATATATTTATACAAGTGTTGGTGGCCCTACCTGGGACCTCTAAATCTGAATCTCTCGGAACAGGTTATGAGCTTATACAGGAAGAAAAAAAATTGCTCAGGTATTTCTTTCTTTTCTTTTTTTTTTTTTTTTTGAGACGGAGTCTCACTGTCTCGGCTCACTGCAACCTCCACCTCTCCACCTTGCATGCTCAAGTGATTCTCCTGCCTCGGCCTCCTGAGTAGCTGGGATTACAGGCGAGGTATTTCTGATGAACACCCTAAGAACTGCTACTATGGATTATTTTTAAATGAAACAAAGGACAAAACACACACACACAAACTGTTTCCTGACAGTCTGCTCTAAACTTAGCCTGGGAATATCAAGGAGAAAAGGCAAGCTGTTTCCCCAAAATCCCCAGGCCCATTTATGAATTTGTCAATGACCTTTCCTTTTTCTTAGGATGCATTCTTTTGTGGATTGAACTTTTACTACCTTCCCTTCAGCTTCTGCCTCTACTTGATCAGATACATTTAAAAGTATGCCAAAAAATGAGAACATTAATGACATCAGAGCCTTAAACATCTTGTTAATGTCCTAATTTGGTTCAGGATCCAGCATGTTACTTAGCAGACTGCAAGTACTCATCCAATAGCTATAAAGAATAATACATTCTAACCAGAGACAAGAAGAGCCCAAACTGAGCCTGAGAAGCCTTGGCTCCTTCAAAAAGAACTTGCTAAGCTGACCAGGAACTAAGAGCAGGATGTGGAACAACTGTAAGAGACCATGTCCTTCCTTTCTACTTACTTCTACAAATTGTTACAAATGCTTTGCTTCAAAATGTAACAAAATTTACCAGTAGTTATTCCTCAGCCCAAAAAATAACAGTGCTAGGTAACAGGTTTATCAGAAACTTTAGGCTGAGCTGTGGAGAGTTCATTTTGTTTGGATTTCACATCTGAAGATATAAAACATGAAAATTACAGAAGATTTTGATTCTTGTTCTCAAATCTACTTCAGTTAATAGAAATAAGAATTGGGCAAGACCACCTAAAATTACTTTTTCCCCCATTTTAAAAGAAAACCTTCCTCCCTAAAGAAACGTTTGCAGAAAGACACTCCTCATAGAAACTACGGGAATTTATAACTAGTAACTTGCACTGCACCATTTTGTACTGATGTCTCATCTGTGAGCAACAGGCCACAACAAATTGATGTTATTCTTTGCCCACACCTGATACGGACTTCAGTTCTGCATAGAATGGTATTTACCATCTTAGAGCCATTTTTTAGTTGTTACAGGATCTGAAATAAGAATGAATTTACTATATAAATAAAAATATATACTATATACTGTTTTGGTCTAATGCTTTTGAAATATGATCTCATCTTTTGGTTTGTTTCCTTCACTTCATTAGAATGTAGCCCATGAGGGCTGGAACTTTGTCTTATTCGTTACTCTCTCTGCAGTGCCTCAGGAGGCACTCAATATATACCTGAAAAAATAAATTCTATTACTCCCTTAAATGTCATAGGATTTTATAGACGGTACATGATATTAACATTCTTTACTACTCATTGATTTTTTTTTTTTTTTTTTTGAGACAGAGTCTTACTCTGTTGCCCAGGCTGGAATGCAGTGGTGCGATCTCGGATCACTGCAACTTCCGCCTCCGGGGTTCAAGTAATTCTCATGCCTCAGCTTCCCAAGTAGCTGGGATTACAAGCGTGCATCACCACACCCAGCTAATTTTTGTATTTTCAGTAGAGACGGGGTTTCACCATGTTGGCCAGGCTGGTCTCGAACTCCTGACCTCAGGTGATCCACCCACCTCAACTTCCCAAAGTGCTGGGATTACAGAAGTGAGCCACCATGCCCGGCCTCAGTGATACTTGATGAATAAATGAGTATTAATTATTACTCTTCATAAATAATGAGCTACTTGCTACTTTCATTTATTTATCCCTTAAGCTAATATCTCTGCACTCTTTGCTACTAATTTTCACATTCTAATTTTTTAAAGGCTGAAGGGTCAATGAATGGAGGAGCGACAAAAGTGAAACCACCTCTTGCATAAATGGCTTTCCAGCTGCATCTCATAAGAGAAGGTACACCAAGCTGGTTCCTGTAAGCTACAAAAATGCCAAGTTAAGAATGGGAGTCTGAATTGCAATCACTTACCTCAAGCTCATTCTCATCAAAAATAGCCAAAAGGTTCTCAGGGACCAATTCATTCAGGCCTGAAACAAAGTAGGCAAGTTAAAGTCATACCCACACCATGGATACAGGTATTTTAACTTCAAGGCCAAGAACAGACAGGATCCCACCTTTTAGGAAATGTTCCACCTCCTCTTTCACTTGACTGGCCAGCCGATATTGGGCCAGCAAATTTAAATAGAAGATTTTATTCGCATTGGTGACTGGAGTTTGAGCTCCACCTGTCATGAGTTCTACAACCTGTAACAGGCAGCAAAAGACAGACAAGGGAGAGGCTGTGGATGGAAATTTATGAGATGACATCTGCCTGGATGTTTTATAGACACAGATTACTGACCTCCATCACTGTCAGTCACAAGTTTCTGCTGTGCATTCAGCTTTTCAACACACTTGGTTTAATTTAGTTCCTAAGCTTCAGGGTTCCTACCACTATTGCTGTATACTAGCTATTATTTCTGAAATGGGTGCCTGGGTAAGGTCTTCTCTGACTCAGTCAAGTAGTAGTGATGCAATAGGAAGATACTATGGCTCCTCGCTAGCAATGTTTTAATCTATGATCCAAAATGAAACCACTATTGACCTCTTCTCTAAGCAACTAAGAGTAAAATCAGATAAGCAGTAAGGAAGTCTTTTTATGTCTCAGAAATTCCAAGATGGGAACAATTGTTCCCACACATTCTTTTATCTCTAATGTGAGTCAACAGAACAAGCCACAGTTTGATACTTGAAGATCCTGGATTCTAATCTCAGCCCTGATGCTAGCTTGCTACAGACCTTTGGTTAATTGCCCCTCCAGACCTTAGGGGAAATTATTTGGCCTGAACTTTCCTCTCTGCAAAGAAAAAGGTGAACAAACTGTATGACTCTCAAACAGAATTGGTATCCCCCAATAAACTCCTAAGGGAACTTTGAAGGAGCCCTGAAGCACAGCTTAAAACCATCATCCAGGAATATTTGTGTAGAGTGACCAAGGTTGTCTCCACAGGTGAATGAAGTTACAAGATCAGATTTTAAGACAACAGCATGGTAGCAATAGCATGCTACTCCACAGCAGGGATTCTCAATGGATCTAAAAATGTAAAACATTTTTTCTGTTGGTATGCACAATCCTGGATTTTTTTTTTAATGTAAGCATTTCTATCTAGGAGACTGAGAAATAAATTATTAAGATTTAGTATTCATATTAAACACAATTAAAATGAGCACTACCCTGGGTCTGAGGACCCTAATTCAGTGTCCTATTGACTCTAGCTGCCTTACCATGCCAGCTCAGGAAGTTGGGTCTAATCCCATGTGTACAAAGGCAGACAGCTGGGAATCCCATAATTTCCAGAAAGGATATCTGATTATCAGTATAGTGGTACCAATGGTCACAATTTTTCAATCATTCCTATTCTGCTTTTAACTTTAAATTTACTGCAACTTTAGCGTCATCATTATCATTTGATGCTGTTTAACACCACAATGTAAATAGAAGCACATGCATCGGAAATATCTCTGGGCCATCATTTTCTAATAAAAAGTTTTGGTTTTATTATTTTGAGATAGGGTTTTGCTGTGTCACCCAGGCTGGAGTGCAGTGGTGCAATCACAGCTTACTGCAGCCTTAACCTCCTGGGCTCAAGCGATGTTCCAGCTTCAGCGCCCACTTCCTCCCACACTACCCCAGTAGCTAGGACCACAGGCACACGCCACCATACCCAGCTAGATTTTTAAAATCTAAAAGACAGGGTCTTGCCAAAGTTGCCCAGGCTGGTCTTGAACTCCTGGTCTCAAGCCATCCTCCTGCCTCAGCCTCCCAAAGTGTTGCAATTACAGGCCATGAGCCACTGCGCCCAGCCAAAAAGTTTAAAAATACCCAGGCATTGTGTTAAAATAGGAATCACCTACATCACTACTGCAAATGTTGACACAGACACTGCCATCTCTTCCAAATCTGCTTGTACAGTGACACTTCACCATCATTCAGTTATTTTTCAACTGGAAGCAGGACTCGGTGGGATAGATGGAGATATGTGTCTTTTGCTTCACTCAAATGGGCTGAGATCATAAAGCATAGGATGCAATGTCCTAAAGCTGTGCTGTCCAATACAGCAGCTGCTAGCCAAGTGTAGTTATGTAAGTATACATTAACTAAAATGAGAAGTTCACTTATTATGTCACCCACATTTTGGGTGTTTAATAGACAACACAAATATGGAACATTTCCACCACTGCAGAAAGTTCTCTTAGACAGTCCTGCTCTACAGGAAACTGGAGAACATAGGACCCAGAGGCTTTGTCCTCTTTCTCACCTTATCCAATTGACCTGATTTATTATATTTCTCTTCTGCAAAGACCAGCTCCATCTCACTCATGTCATTGTTGAGGATAAAACAAACTTTAGATTTGTAGAATTCTGGGTCATCTGTTTCAAAGTACTGAGGAGGCAGAAAGACACAGAACAGAACATGAATACTCTTGCCCTGAAAGGTGTAACTGCTTAGAACCACTTATCCCTTCAACCTTAAAAATTATTTACAAGCCCAGGAGGAGAGATTTCAGGGTTAATGGCCAGGGGCCTTAGTAGGAAATGCACACCCAAGATGTTACCTTGTAATGCATACGCAGTCCTATGATTTGGGCCAGGAAAGAGCGGGTGAAGCGAGCTCGGACCAACTGCTTGTAGGCTCCTCCTAGAGAGGACTCATAGAGACACTTGCCCACGAGCCGTCCCGCAAACTCATACATTTTCAGGCGCAGATGAGCGGGGCGATTAGGGTTGGGATGCACCTGTCCAAGAAAGAGACTGAAAGGCCCTGGGCCATTTTTCTTCAAGCCCAGTTCTGGAAGGACCCTTCCTTCCCCAACCCCATGCCAAAGGAACAAGATGTCACTGTGAGGATCAGAGCCCATCCAAATGTTAGTTTTTTGGTAGCCACCACTGAGTAATTCAAAGTGACTAGAAGATAAAGGGCAAAGGTGGACATAATTAAGAATCTTATATTAAGTTTGTGGTTAATCAGCAGATGATGTGATGCCTTTTCCCTAAACCAGAACTTCTTTCAGCCAAAGTGTACTTCTCTACTCCTGACACCTTTGTCTAGACAAAGATCTAGTACAGGAATCATTTGCTTCAGGTATGTTTTGAGAAAGAGGCTTAATTATTATAATAATTAGTAGAGTAGACATTATACTATAATGTTTTTAGTCAAATATTCAGCTGCCTGCATTTTTGCTTATTTTACAGATGAAATAATAAAGGCAAAGAGGAGAAAGACAATCTGATTAGCTTATATTTTAAGCAGTAAAATTAAGAATAGGACACAGGTTGTCAGGTTCCCAGATCAGTTTCATAATTTTGAATCCTTGTTAGTCTACCCATGATAACATAATCCACATTTTCCACCCACCCGTCACCAACTCACTAATGCTTGGTTGTTGTCACTGAACCGGGTGAAGAGCTGATTGGTGGTATCAAATAGTGCTTTGCAGATTAGCTCAAACCATTCCCGGCGAGGCCCTCCCCAGTCCAGAGCTGAAAAGCATAATGAAAATAAAAAATGACTCTGCCCTCCCTCCTCTTACCACTTTTGTTTATTGAGTCATCATTTTATACTCTCCACATTCCCTCTATTGTACTACTCTGGTGTTTCTCCGTTGCGACTCATCTAAACTGTGGTCCTTTAGAAATCCCACCCCTTTTTGTAGGATTAATGGTATTCTGATCACTAAGGAAAAGCCCCCTAGTATGGAAACACCAGAGGTCGGAGATCCCAGGAAATGGACATTTCTCTCAAGGTAACCACGGTTCAAACACTTAGAACTCTCTCTCCAAGTCCCTGTATGTCTGTGTACCACAAGCTCCTCAATGCCATCCTGGCCAGTAAATACTACCCTTTTTTTCTTGACTCATGGTTCCCTTTTCCTTGGGGAAAAAAAAACCTAGGTTTTTTTTTTTAGGGAGTGAGTAGGAGGTAAGAGTTGCTTTTTTTTTTTTTTTTTTTTTTTTGTGGAGAAGGTGCGAGTGGGGAGGAGAGTTCAAAAAGATGAATATAAAATTTCAAAACTGACCTTCTTCATCCTGGAAAACAACCTCAAAGTTCTTGCTCCAATCTGAGATGGAGAAATTCCGAGTGGCTTTCAGAGACTGAAAAGAAGTGAAAGGAAGGGAATTGTCAGAACACTGGCTGGTGTCCTCTGGATGTTAAAGACAACACAAGAGCACTGCCATTGTCTGCTGGACTAACTACGACTGCCTGAAGGAGATATGTTACTCATAAACAAGCTTTAATGATACCACCTGACATTTAAAATGCACATAACTTCAAATTTAAAGTTTTAAAAAATAATCTGATTTGCCTTTACATCATCACTTTGTTGGAAAGCTGAAGTTGTTTTTTTCTTTTCCTTTTGTTTTAAACAATCCTTGTTTTAGCAATGAAAACATTCTTGCATAAAGAAGTAAAAAATGACTCAAGTCAGTAAGCTGTAGGCAAAAGAACCAAGGAATCCTGGTTTTCAGCAAAGTATGATCTATCCACTAGACATATTTATCCACAAGGCTAGGTTCAGACAGCGAGCCATGCCACACGGAGAATATGGCTGAGAAAACGGGTTTCCAGTCACACCTACCAGAGCCAAACATCACAAACACTTTCTGGACAGGAACCAAGCCTTCTCATTCCTGGGGAATGTAAGAACTATGCCAGTGTCTGTGCAGTGGAGACAGACACACATCAGGTGTTCCTTTTCCATCAGACCAAAGTGACAACAAAAATCATTTCCTTTTAATTCAACAAGCGCTCTATTCCAGGGATTCAATAACAAGAAGTTTCTTCTGTAATCACTATTTACACCTGCCCTACATGGGAGTTCCAAGGGACCCATTCAGTAGATTTGAAGGCCAGTAAGTAAACTGCTCTTCCCTCGATAACATACCTCCAACAAAACTGCCCCAAATTTAGTAGAATCAAATAGAAGAACAGACATATGTAAAGAGAGAAATTTAGGTTTCAGAAATTTAGTATATCTGTCTTTTATAAGTATATCTGTCTTTTATAAGTATATCTATATCTTTACTTAAACAGAGAAATTTAAGTTTCATGAAAAAGATAACCAGATCAGGCATGGTAGCTCATGCCTGTAATCCCAACACTTTGGGAGGCTGAGGCGGGTGTATCACTTGAGTCCAGGAGTTCGAGACCAGCCGGAGCAATATGGCAAAATCCCATCTTTACAAAAAATACAAAAATTAGCCAGGCATGGTGACACATACCTATAGTCCCAGCTATTTGGGAGGCTGAGTTGGGAGGATCACAGCCCGGGAAGATCGAGGCTGCAGTGAGCCATGATCGCACCTCTGCACCCCAGCCTGGGCAATAGAGTGAGACCCTATCTCCCAAACAAAAACAAAAACAAAAACAGTAACCTGCAGAATATAGACATTCAATTGGAAAACTTTGGTATCTGCTGACAGAGATGAAATTTTACCTACCGATTCCAACAAGGCATGTCTGCTGACCTTCAGGGTGACTTTGGAATGTGGTCTTTTCATATGTACCTGCCGAAGCTCTCGCTGGAAAAAGTTCACCTTGTCCTGAAAGGTCTCAGAGCCTCCTGGGGAACAGCAAGATCCATCATTACAGCCTCATTACAAGCCATCTGTGTAGTCCTGCCTCTCCACCCTCATGGATGTGGCTGGGCTCACTACCTTCCCTATAGAATCCCTGTGTAACCTCACCTATGTTCTTATGCAGGGAGCGGATAAAAGTGGCTGCTAGAATGTTCCTCTCCTTACAGCTGAGCTCCACAGGAGGTTGAATGCCATCATCCACCACCAGTGTGAGCAGCTTATGGACAGGGTCAGGACCAAGGTATGAAAACTGGTAAAGAAAAACAAAGAAATTAATCTATAAAACCCTCAAGGCCAGTAAAAGTCCTCCACAGCTCTATCCTGTGTACCAACCAACAACAATAAGTTAGGCTTGTTTTCTCCAAATGAGGACCTACCAGAAATACATTTCATTATTTTTCCCTTCAGTGATTTACATTTCAACATTTAAAATTATTTTAGTCACAGAGACTGCCTTTAGTTAGGACCACCAGCAAAACTACAGACCTTCTAACATAAAATATAAGAAGGGTGATATGTTAAATAGCAATAAATGGCAATACGGTGATATATTAAATAGCAATAGTAAGGATATATTAAACAGCAATAAATGACTACTCCAAACTGATCAGAAGAAAACTATTTTTATAAAATGGCACATTCTAGCCTTTGGGCAAAAGTTTAGATTCCAGAAGCCCAGAAAAGTTAACAACAAACAAACAATGTATTTTAATATATGAGAGTGGTGCTTCTAAAAGGAGTTAGCTTCAGCACACTGGGAGACCAAGCTTGGGCCAGAGTTACAAACATCTTCTCTATTAACTTAGTCTTGAAGGCAAAGGATCACTGTTGAAGTATTCTGAGTTGCTGCTAATTCCTGTTTCTGTAGGCATGCGTCCTTCCAGAATTTATATATTCTTCATGCCATTTAGTGAGGAGATAATGATGCTTTATTTGGCAACGAATCCTGTGTACACTGTGAGATCTTGCAGAAACACTAAAAGTGCTTCTGAGAAAAAATAAAAGGCTGAGATAGTCCAGAGATGAAGCATGCTTGATGTGAACCAGATGTAAGGTTCAGCTTACTTTTGTTCCTGGACACACTCGGAAGGTGTAAAGGCGCCAGGGGATGATCTTCAGGTAGAACTCCTTCACTGAGAATTGCTGGAGGACCAACAGACAGGAAATGAAGTGAATGATAAATAAAAAGGCTCTATTTGGGTATTCTAATTCAAATATCATAGTCCCTATTTACATTTCTCATAACCTTTCCTCTCCATGGACAAAAGTAATAATTTAGTGAGTACTAAAGTCAAATAAATACATTAACTCTCTATTTAAAAAGGCAAATTAAAAATATTACCCTGATGGCCAAGTGTGGATGGCTCACATCTATAATCTCAGCACTTTGGGAGGCCGAGGCAGGCAGATCACTTGAGGCCAGGAGTTCAAGACCAGCCTGGCCAACATGGCAAAACTCAGTCTCTACTAAAAATACAAAAAAATTAGCTGGGTGCGGTAGCTCATGCCTGTAATCCCAAGTACTCGGGAGGCTGAGGCACAAGAATCGCTTGAACCCGGGAGGCAGAGGGTGCAGTGAGCTGAGATTGGACCATGGCACTCCAGCATGGGTGACAAAGTGAGACCCTGTCTCAAAAAATAAAATAAATAAAAAAAATATGACTGACAATGCAGTTTCACACAGAGATATTTCATAATTGTAATACTCAAGTCTTTCTAAATATCTGGGATCAGGTTTTCACTTTATGAGAACAGAATATTTCACCTAGAAACAATCAAAATCTCCTTCTGCTCAGCCCCATGATGCTCAGAATGACTTCCTCCAAGTTACTGGATAGCAAACACCAGCAACCCATACACACTGCTTTATACCTATTTGAATGGTGCCAAGGATCTGCCAGGGAAGGGAGGCAAGATGGGGTGAGCTGGAGTGGAATATGTTGGTGGTATAGGGGAAGGTCCTCACACAAAAAAGTTCATACAAAAGAGGAAAAGACAATGCAAAAATTTTTTAATCTTAAAAAATCCCTTTTATCTGAATGTGCAGGTCAGTTGTTTTCTTGATAAAAAAAAGTTTAAAGAAAATTTCAAACACATACTAAAGAAGACAAAGAAGTATAATGAAACTATCAGCTGCTTCAACAATTATCAATTCATAGCCAATCTTGTTTCATTTATTCACTTACCCATTTCCCTCATTACCATCACCCCTAGTCCAAATTAAGGCTAGATTTTTAAATGAAGAATGGTACACAGCAAAGTGTTCTGAAGTAGAACAGAATTAGAACTCAGTTTTGGTTATGAGATTAAAGAGATGCAATGGGATGTTTCACAGAGTCTCATTTTTATGAGGACTGAATGAATAAGGAAAAACAAATATTAAAAAGAAACTAACACAAAGTGCTTCTTAGCTCAGGGGCTTGGGAAATTCACCTTCTTTCCTCTGCCAAAATTTCTTTACTCCAATCCTGTAGCCTAATAGTGACATCCATTTACTGTGGTTTCATGAATCACAGAACAAAAGATCAAATTGTTTTGACACAGCACAAGAAGCCAACAGTAATTTTTATGCTAGCAAGAAATTTTTAACAGTTGAAAGTGGCTTTCTATACAACTAGTTAACAATCTTGCCCTGATTCTCAGACTGTTACTTTGTGGTTTCTGCTACCAAATACCAATTACACACAGGTTCAAGCAGGGGGATTTTATGTCGAGAATGGAAGGTCCAACCTTTGGTGACACATAGCAGTACACCTTCTTCGGTTTCTTCACCTTCTCAGGGGTGTGGCACTCAGAGGGCGAGTCTTCATCTTCCTCGTCAACAGCAGTGGATGGCCGGCGCTGGGAAGAGGTCATGTGCATGGGTGGCAGGTGCCATGGAGTGCTGCTACAGTTGGTAGCATTATAAAGATAAGCCTCAAAGTAAATGCTCACGCCTGAAGTGGACACATTGCGTTCGACGATATTCTTCTCATCCTCTGAAGTATAATAAGGAATAAGGTTTAAAGTAGAAGTCAGAGAAGAAAAAAATTACCTATCACAGGCTTTTAGTCCACAGGACAAGCCAAATGTGGCCCAAATATCAAATGTTTGTGAGGTCAGACAAAAGAGTGCAAACAGGCAAAGAAACGGCTGAAGAACAGCACTAAATCATACTTTTCTTTTAACTTACCACTTAGGACAATAATGTCAAATTCACCATTATTGATTGGCTGATTTTGGTATGAAATGCAAGCATGGAAGCAGCCTCGAGAATGCAGGGTGAGTCGCAAGAACACCTGGAAAGTCTGCCTGTTGGATGTTACTGATTTCTCAAATGAGACACCAGTACTCTCTTCTTCTTGAGGGCCGAGCTATAGGAAGGCAACAGAGCATCACTTAACATATAGTATTTTCCCATTTACAAGCCACTTTACTCCTTACAAAGAGCTTTCCTATCTATGATCTAATCTAAATCACAAAATTACTAATGAGACAGGTATTGTCAGATGAAGATACAGACAGCACAGAAGTCAAGGAGAAGGAAAGAGAGATCGAAGTGAATTAGGTGTGAGAATAACAGAGAAAGGAGCCAGCTCTCTCTAGCACACAGATAAAGAAGGGAGACTGCTTACCTCATGAATGGACAAGGTGTAATTGTGCTCATCTCTCAAGGACATGGAATTGTTGGTGGGATTATCATACTCATCTCGGGGTACTATTTGAAGGGTGTGCGGCTGCCCACAGGTCAATACAAGAGTAGAAAAGTGGCACACAATTTTGGTCTTAGAAGGAACCACCATTCCTGGAACAAAGACAATGGAATCTAACATTTATTTATTTTATTTTTTTATTTTTATTTTTTTTGAGATGGAGTCTCGCTCTTTCGCCCAGGCTGGAGTGCAGTGGCGCAATCTCGGCTCACTGCAAGCTCTGCCTTCCGGGCTCATGCCATTCTCCTGCCTCAGCCTCCCGAGTAGCTGGGACTATAGGTGCCCGCCACCATGCCCAGAGAATTTTTTTTTGTATTTTTAGTGGAGACGGGGTTTCACTGTGTTAGCCAGGATAGTCTCGATCTCCTGACCTCCTGATCCGCCCGCCTTGGCCTCCCAAAGTGCTGGGATTACAGGCGTGAGCCACCACGCCCGGCTGGAATCTAACATTTAAAGGTGCTCTTCAGGGCACAAAGATCTGCTCAGTGGGTCCTAGAAAGCTAGGTTTCCTCCCAATTCCTAGGGATAAATAACACTATCAAGAGGAAGAGAGGCCAGGTGCGGTGGCTCACACGTGTAATCCCAGCACTTTGGGAGGCCAAGGCCAGAGAATCCCTTAAGGATCCCTTAAGAAGTTCAAGACCAGCTTGAGCAACATAGCAAGACCATCTCTACAAAAAATAAAAATTAGCCAGGCATGGTGGTTCATGCCTGTGTCCCAGCTACTCAGGAAGCTAAGGCAAGAGGATCACTTTTGCCCAGGAGGTAAAGGCTACAGTGAGCTATGACCACACCATTGCATTCTAGCCTGTGTGACAAAGGGAGACCCTGTCTCTCTCCTTTTTTTTTTTTTTTTTTTTTTTTGAGACAGAGTCACGCTCTGTCACCCAAGCTGGAATGCAGTGGCACGATCTCGGCTCACTGCAACCTCTGCCTGTCGGGTTCAAGCGATTCTCCTGCCTCAGCTGAGTAGCTGGGACTACAGGCACCCGCCACTACACCCAGCTAATTTTTGTATTTTTAGTAGAGACAGCGTTTCACCATATTGGCCAGGCTGGTCTCAAACTCCCCACCTTGTAATTTGCCCGCCTCGGCCTCCCAAAGTGCTGGAATTACAGGCGTAAGCCACGGTGCCCAGCTAACCCTGTCTCTTTATTAAAAAAAAAAAAAAGAGGAAAAAACAGAAATAGAGAAATTTAAATGAATTTGGGGAATTATTTTTGTTACAAATTCTTAACCACTGCAAACCCTAAGTAAAATGAAAAAAACTTGGAAGAAATAAAACAAAAAAACCAACAAACAACTAAACAAATGGAGACATGTTTATGGAAGATCCAACATAGTACAGATGTCAATTTTCCCCAAATTGATATATAGGTTTAACACAATTCTTATCAAAGTTCCAGCAAGATTATTTATAGATTTAGTTAAGATTATTCTAAAATTTAAATGGAAAGGCAAAGGAACTAGAATACTAAAACAATTTTGAAAAAGAAGAATAAAGTGGAGTCAGCTTACCAATTTCAAGACTTATTATAAGAGCTACAGTAATCAGGCTGTGTGACTTGGCTCACGCCTGTAATCCCAACACTTTGGAAGGCCAAAGCAGGAAGATTACTTGAGTCCAGGAGTTCGAGACCACCCTGGGCAACATAGTGAGACCCTATTCCTACAAAAAAGATAAAAAATTAGCTAAGCACGGTGGTGCACGCCTGTAGTCCCAGCTACTCGGGAGGTTGAGGCAGGAGGATCACTTGAACCCAGGAGGCCAAGGCTGCAGTGAATCATGATCGCACCACTGCACTCAGCCTGGGTGACAGAGTGAGACCCTGCCTCAAAAAAAAAAAAGAAAAGAAGAGGGAGCTACAGAAATCAAGATTCTGTGGTACTGGAGGAGGGATAGGTACACAGATTAATGAAATAAGCCCCCACAAATATGTCCAACTGCTTTTTGATAAAGGTACAAAAGCAATGTAATAGAAAATGAAAGATCACCTTTCCAACAAATGATGCTGGAGTAAAGACATGTATAAGCAAAAAAAAAAAAAAAAAAAAGAGGACCTTGACCCAAATCTATTAAAATTAACTAAAAATGGATCATGACCCTAAATACACATTTTCAAACTGTAAAAACTTTTGGGAAAAAAAGAGAACATCTTCAGGATCTGAGACCAAAGATTTCTTAGACACCAACAGTTTGACCATAAAAGAAAAAAATGGATGCACTGGATTTCTTTCTTTCTTTTTTGAGACAGGGTCTCACTTTGTCACCCAGGCTGGAGTGTAGTGGCAAGATCACAGCTCACTGCAGCCTCAACCTCCTGGGCTTGTTATCCTACCACCTCACTTCTCCACCCTACTCCCCAGTAGCTGGGACTAAAGGTGCACGCCACCACACCCAGCTAATTTATAAATTTTTTGTAGAGATGAGGTCTCACTATGTTGCCCAGGCCGGTCTTGAACTCCTGGGCTCAAGTGATTCTCCCACCTCAGAAAGTGGATTTCATCAAAATTGAAAACATGTGCTCTGTGAATAACTCTGTTAAGGGAATAAGAAGAAAAGCTCAGCCTGAGCAACATGGCAAAGCCCCATCTCTACAAAAAATATAAAAATTAGCCAGGTGTGGTGGCACATGCCACAGTCCCAGCAACTTGGGAGGCTGAGATGGGAGATCACCTAAGCCGGGAGAGGTCAAGGCTGCAGTGAGCCATGACTATGCTACTGCACGCCATCATGGGTGACAGAGTGATACCCTGTCTCCAAAAAGAAATAAAGAAAAGCTACAGATGGGGAGAAAATATTTGCAGACCATATGTTTAACAAAGGACTAGCATATAGAATATATACAGAACTCTCAAAAGTCAACAGTAAAAAGCCAAAATGGGCCGGGCACGGTGGTTCATGCCTGTAATCCTAGCACTTTGGGAGGCCAAGGTGGATGGATCACCCGAGGTCAGGAGTTTGAGACCAGCCTGTCTAACAGGGCAAAACCCCATCTCTACTAAAAACACAAAAAACTAGCCAGGCATGATAGCAGATGCCTGTAATCCCAGCTACTTGGGAGGCTGAGGCAGGAGAATTGCTTGAACATGGGAGGCGGAGGTCGCAGTGAGCTGAGATTGTGCCATTGCACTCTAGCTTGGGCGTCAGAACGAGACTCCATCTCAAAAAAAAGAAAATAATAATAAATAAATAAATAAATAATAATAATCCCATTAGATAATGGGCAAAAGGGCCAGGTGTGGTGGCTCACGCCTGTAATCCCAGCACTTTTTGGGGCCAAGGGGGTGGATCACTTGAGCTCAGGATTTCGAGACCTGCCTGGCCAACATGGCAAAACTCTGTCTCTACAAAATATACAAAAATTAGCCAGGCGTGGTGGTGCCTGCCTGTAATCCCAGCTACTCAGGAGGCTGACACAGGAGAATTGCCAGAACCTGGGAAGAGGAGGTTGGTTGCAGTGAGTCAAGGTAGCACCACTGTACACCAGCCTGGGCAAGAGCAAGGATGTCTAAAAAAAAAAGAAAAAAAGAAAGAAAGAAAAGAAAAGAAAAGAGAAAAGAAAAGAAAAGAAAATGGACAAAAGACACGAAGAGACATTTCACCAAAGGATACATAGATGACAGACAGGCACATGAAAAGATGTTCAATAGCATTAACTATTTAAGAAATGCAAATTAAAAGCACAATGAGATACCACTACACACTTATCACAATGGCTAAAATAAAAAATAATGACAGCATTAAATGTTAGCAAGGATGTGAAGAAACTGGATTATTCATACATTGCTGGTGGGAATGTAAAATGCTACAGCCACTCTGGAAAAGAATTTGGCAATTTAAAAGAAACTAAGCATACAACTCCAATACATCTCAGCAACTGCATACTAGAGAAATGAAAATTTATGTTCACATAAAAACCTGTAAGTGAATATTTATAGCAGCTTTATTCATCATAGCCCCCAAATGGAAACAACCCAGATGACCTTTAACAGATGAATAGTTAAACAAACTGGTACATTCAGACCACAGAATATACGTAGAGAATCCCTAATCCAAAAACCAGAAATCCAAAATGCTCCAAAATCCAAAACATTTTGGGTACCTACATGATACTCAAAGGAAATGCTCACTGAAGCATTTAGGGTTTCAGATTTTTGGCCTAGGGTGCTGAAGTGGTAAGTAAGTATATTGCCAATATTCCAAAACCCCCAAAAATCCAAAATCCAAGACACTTCTAGGCAGACATAGTGGCTCATGCCTGTAATCCCAGCACCTTGGGAGGCCAAGGCAGGAGGATTGCTTGAGGCCAGGAGTTAGAAACCAGCTTGGTTAACATAATGAGACTGTCTCTACAAAACAAAAAATCAAAAAATTAACCGAGCGTGGTGGTGCACACTTGTAGTCCCAGCTACTTGGGAGGCTGAGGTGGAAGGATTGCTTGGGCCCAACAGGTCAAGGCTACAGTGAGCCATGATCCTGCCACTGCATTCCAGCCTAGGTGACAGAGCAAGGCCCTGTCTCAAAAACAACAAAACATTCCTATACCACGTTTGGAGAGAAAAAAACCACAAAACCACACATCTGGTCCCAAGCATTTTGGATGAAGAATACTCAACCTGTACTACTCAGCAGTAAAAAGGAACCAACTACTGATACACTCAGTAACCTGGATGAATCTCCAGAAAATTATGCTGAGTGAGGAAAAGTCAACCCCAACAGGTTATATACTATATGATTCTAGTTATATAATATTCTTCAAATGACAAAATTATAGAAATGGGGAATAGATTCGTGGGTTGCCAGGGGTTAAGAACAGGTTGGGGATGGGGGGCAGGTACGGTGGCTCATGCCTGTAATCCCAGCACTTTGGGAGGCTGAGGCGAGCGGATCATGAGGTCAGGAGATCGAGACCATCCTGGCCAACATGGTGAAATCTTGTCTCTACTAAAAATACAAAAATTAGCTGGGCGTGGTGGCACGTGCCTGTAATCCCAGCTACTCAGCGTGAGGCAGGAGAATCCACTGAACCAGGGAGTTGGAGGTTGCAGTGAGCCAAGATGGCACCACTACACTCCAGCCTGGCGACAGGGCGAGACGCCATCAAAAAAAAAAAGAAAAAAAAAAAAAGAAAGAAACAGGTTGGGGGGGATAGGTGTGGCTGTAAAAGGGCAACATAAGGGATCCTTGTGATGATGGAAATGTTCTGTACCTTGACTGTATCAATGTCAATAACCTGGCTGTTATACTGTACTAGTAGTTTTGGAAAATGTTACCATTGCAGGAAACTGGGAAAAGGGTACACCAGATCTCTGCATTATTTCTTACAAATGCATATGAATATACAATTATCAAAAAATAAAAAGTTTAATTTTTTTAAAAAGGCTGGTACATGTAAGGGTATGAGCTGTTCTCCACTGGTGGCAAAGAGGTGGGTGATGATAATTCATATGAAAAGGAGTATCTGAGTGAGGCACTTAAGCAAAGGAGAGGATACATGGAAAGAGAGACGGCTTGAGAGCCACTTTGTCCAGAGCCTTACTCTGCTATCAGAGAAAGAAAATTAAGGACTAGTCAAGCAAAGATACACAAATCTTAAGGCCCCACTCAGTACGGTTTCACTTCAAAAGTTACCCAGGGACCCCAGGTCCTATTATTTCTGTGGATACCACAGCCCTTAGCCCTTAAGAACTAACCAAACTAATGACTCAGCAATTTTACTCCCAGAGTAATAAAAACATGTCAACACAAAAACTTGTACACAAATGTTCACAGTAGTGTTGCTTACAGTACCCAAAAGTAGAAACAATTCGACCACCAACTGATGAAAGGATAAATAAAATACGGCATGTACATAAAATAGAATATTATTTGTCAATAAAAAGAAATGAAGTACAGATTCACGCTACAGCATGACTGAATCTGGTTTAGATATTTGTACCCTCCAAATCGCATGTTGAAATGTGATTCCCAGTGTTGGAGGTGGGGCCTGGTGGGAGGTGATGGGGTCATAGGGGAGGATCCCTCATGAATGGCTTGGTCCCCTCCTCATGGTAATGAATAAGCTCTTGTTCTGAGTTCATGCAAGATCTGTTTGTTTAGAAAAGCCCAGCACCTCCTCCCTCTCTCTCTCTCTTGCTCCCTCTCTCACCATTAGGCACTCCTGCTCCCGCTTCGCCTTCCACCATGAGTGGAAGCTTCGCGAGGCCTCACCAGAAGCAGATGCTGGTGCTATGCTTTTTGTACAACTTGCAGAACCATGAGCCAAATAAACCTCTTTTCTTTATAAATTACCCAGTCTCAGGTATTTCTTTACAGCAAGACAAAAGCAGCCAAACACAGCAGGCAAATCCACAGAGGCAGCAGATGAGTGGCTGCCTAGGTCTGGGGGATTTGGGGGAAAAGTGACTACTAACATGTATGGGGTTTCTTTTTGAGGTGATGAAAATGCTCTAAAATCGACTGTGATGATGGCTGCATTTAAAGAACCATTAAACTGTATACTTTAAAAGGATGAATTTTATGGCATGGGAATTAAATCTCAATAAAGGTATTATTTTTAAAAAGGAAAGACAGGATGGAAAGAGAGAGAGGGAAGGAGACAAAGGGAAAAAGAAAGGAAAAAAGAACCTACCAGGTTGAAAAATTTTGTAGTAGGGACTATATGCCACATTTAATCCACCAAGCTTCACTGTGATTTCATAACGCCCAGCCTTGCGCACAGTGAAGGCCACTTTTACTACGTTGGAATTGGGCTCCTGAAGGACTTCCTGGGTCACTGGAATTTCCACTGCTAGCTCGACATGAGAGATGTGAACTCTTAGTCCCACAGGCCGATGTGCAGGGAAAGGCTGCCCGTTCTTATAGAATAACTGCCATGGGGAGAAGAAGGACACCTGTTAGCAAGCAGAGGAAAAAAACATTTCCTGTGTAGAGTGAGTGGGGAGAGAGGAAGTAGCTGGCAGAGACCACACCAGTAAATCCCAGTACCTACCCTGTTCCTCACAGTCCTGCTCACAAAAACACAGAGAGAAACAAATCCCCTCAATACTCTAAAGAAAACCATTAAGTCATGAGCAAATTCTTAACTTGTTCAGAGGACAAGGGTAGAATTTACCACTAAATCAAGAAAATGTCCATTTTAACTTGCCACTTCTGAACCACCAATGCTGCCTCCTTGGTCTTACCAGCCCTTTATATTATCAATGCTAACCCAAATTTAAAGGTAAGTTAGCCGGCAGCACTGGCAATGAGTGAACTAAAGCGTTACCAGACAAAGGTAGGAGGGGTTCAGACTCTCAAGCCAAGCTTAATGCTACAGTGGAGAAGTCAATGCAGGAGTTGGGAAATTTTTTCTGTAAAGTGCCAGAGAGTAAATATTTTGGCTTTGTGGACCGTACACAACTACTCAACTGTCATAACTACTCAGGTGTGAAAACAGCCATAGTCAATACATGATGAATGGGTGTGGCTGTGTTCCAAGACAAATGTATTTAAAGAAACAGAAGGTGGGCCTGATTTGCTAACCCCTATCTATAATACTTACTCTTTTCTGTAATATTTTTCTTATTTTGAAAAGGTAACATTAAGCTTTATACTTCTTCAAAGCTAAGGACCTATTAAATCAAAATGACAGAGAAATTTGTGACTCTTCAGATAGTAGCAATTCACTAGTTCCTGGAGGGAGTTGAAAAACAAGAGAAAATGTTAACATTCCAGGCCAGCACCTGGGCTCTGGAAAGCAAGTTACTCAGAAACCCCAATGGGTATGGAGACAGAAACATTCCCTTACATGCACTCGGAAGGCCATGCTGTGGCCCACCTCATAGGGGTCCTTCCAATCCCAGGAGACTTTGCAAGACCGGGGATCCAGGTAATTTCCCCGCACGTAGTCATAAATAGTCCGGTCCCCTCGGCGCTCGCGGTCCTCATTCTGGAGGAAGCTGACTACACGTGCGGCAAGCTCAAAGAGGAACTTAATTGTGAAGAAGAATGCAACCACAGACACTGTGATTCCACCTATGCAAAAGAGAGAACACACAAACCGCCTGCCAGTTACACATTACAGCTTTTCATTATGCAACAGGCCAGCCATTTCTCAAAAATTAAAGGAGGTCAGGATGAGACTGTAAGACTGCCAAAGAAACACTGCACTGGGCACTACCTCTGTAGATAAGAAAGGAACTTCTACACCAGGGGTCAGTAACTACAGTCCTCAGGCCAAAGCCCACCCACTGCCTATTTTGGTAAATAAAGTTCCATTGGGATACAGCCACACCCATCATTTATAAATTGTCTATGGCTACTTTTGCACTACACTGGCAGAGTTGAGTCATTGAAATGAGCCTTCGGAACCAAAAATATTTACTCTCTGGCCTTTTATAGAAAAAGTTTGCAAACTCTTGCTCTATATGAGCTGCATATAATGTCCGCCCTGCTCCCTACCTTCCTGCACTTGCTGGGCACCCCACAGAAGCAGTCAAAAGGATGTGCCTTTGGTTCCCACCATTTCCTTCTTAAAGAATGCATTATTTGGGAGCCCTCCCCTCCCTTGTGTACTTGGCAAAAGTCTTCTCCAATCCCCACCAGAGTTAGCAGTTCCCTTTTCTGGGCTCCTTCAAACTCCTACACATTCATCTGGTATAACTTTTCTCCTCCTTGACCGTTCCCCTTTATGTTATGAATGCCTACTCCTTGAAGGCAGATTTTTGTCTTATTCAACTTTAGACTCCACAGTAAACAGTGTCTGGCATTGACTATAATTGCTCAATAAACCCAAATGAATGAATTCCAATGCCAACTCTGTGAAGGTACATTCTGGCACGACTAGAAATATTTTCAGCTCCATTTTCAAAGGGAAAAGAATAGGCAGAAAGGCAAAAAGGACCCAAGCAACCTTTACAAAAATATAATAGAGAGAGCTCTTTCCATAACGTACCAATAACGTAAAACATCAGGTCCCGTCAATGCCAACAGACAGCCGAGGATCACAGCTGCAGCTGTTAAAAGAAAACTTGTTTAGTTTTTGTCTCCAACTCTGCCTCATAGCTATCTCAGAGTAAGACAAAGAAGAGTGTATGGCGTGAGCCAAACAACTCTCTCTAGTCCAGAGCCTTACTATTCCTATCCTCTTTCTAGCTTGACAGGTGCCGTATAATATATTTCAGAGAAACAAAGAGACTGCATCATTCCCCTTAAAGACTTCCAATCTACTGACCACTCTAGGAATACCACAAACAGCCACTTGCTTTATTGCTAATTTCAAAATGCAGTAACATGGCTTTCATCTTCTTAGATCCATAGTTCCCAAGACAGTTTCCCTCCCTCATGCAAAGTGGTGCTAATTAACACATGCAAAGAGGGTAATGGAGTCACTTTCCCCTTATGTTTGCCTTTTGGGAGTAATTCAGCTAAGTAGAAATAGCTATATAAAATGTAGATTTTTTTTTTTTAAAGCAAGTATCATTATCATCATGTTGGCATTATGTAATTAAAATGAACTCTGGGTCATCCCAATAATAAGCAGTGGGTCTGAAAGTGAAGTCATTTATGCTGTTACCAATCAGACAAACTAATGGGCCCTCTGGAAGATGAGCTCAGCAGAAAGACCAAGGAGAGGAACAAAAGGAGACTGTACTTCTCATCCTCAGTCATGCCTGTCAAGGTAGGAGTCTGAGGGAAGACTTTCACTGTTGTTAAACTTGTTTCCAGAATAAGACTTCAATCTTAATTACTCATTTGATCATGTGAACCAATAAAAGTACTGCCAAGGAAAAATGCAATGTATGCTAACGTTCATATCTTATCACTGAGTCTGACCTTAGCACAGGCTGTATATGCTATTTTACAATGCATGAATGCACTCTTTCTTTTCAAGTCAGCGTACACTAAGGCTGTCAATGTTATCTTGACCCAACACCTTTTATCAGCACTAGAATATTACGTAGAGACAAGACAGCTAAAAATTTCTAGGCTCAGATCTGGGAGGGACCAAAACAACTTTTTTTCAGGGTGTGTTTTTACATCTGATTGTGCTTGCTTAGTTCCTCTGATAACAATATACCCAGTGGAACCCACAGAGAGTAGGTAATTTGAGGAATGACCGTCAAAAGTTTCATACAAATCCTACTTAGAGTGATTATCTAAAGTCCTACTAGAAAAGAAATCCACACTGGGAACATTAGAATTGTCACGTGGATGAAGGTGCTCCCAAAAGGGTCTATTACAGACAATATAAAGAGCCAAAATTTGGGATCACAACTACTGAACCTCCTTCCCAAACAAGTATCTCATCTCTTGGGACCCTATGCTGAATTAGCTGGGGACCCAACAGCTATCATCTCAAAAATCTGCTACGATCTCTCAAAAAGCATCTGTCTGCATCTTACAGGATGCACTAGATGACTTGGTGGGACCAAAACTGGCAGTTTAACTGCCTTAGGTACTTCCTCAGCGGGATGCCATTCGATCTGACCCTAGATGTGAAATTTCTGGTCCTCAGGGAAGTTACAGCACTCAGCAAAGAAATGAAGTATATGTGGCTGGTGTTACAGATTTGTGGTCTTCTTAGAGGAATAAAAGCAGTGCCAAATGTATGGCTTGAGTCATGAGGGCTAGAAAAATTCCCACCTACTATCTCTGACAACTACAACAACCCTTCTGTGAGAGACAGCTGACATGCAGTAATTGAAAAGCCTGGAGAACAATCCCAGGACTGCAAACTGTGTGACCTATCTAGGCTTCAGAATCTCATTGCTGTAAAAAGAGTTGCAATTTAATAATTTCTATGGTATCATCTCCTTTAGTATGATATGACTTCAATGCAACTCCCCATGGCCATCAAAGCTCTAGCCAAACAGCATAACAAATAGCATAAGATAGAGGATAAGGGGGCAGACTCTAGAGTTAGATTACCTGGCTTCAAATCCATGCCCCATCATTCATAATGTGACCCTGGACAAGTCATTTAATCTTTGTAAAGGAGTGCCAGTTTCCTTATATGTACCTCACGGGGTGCTGTGAGGATTAAATGAGTTAACACATGTAAGCAGCCTACAGTAGTGCCTGGCACACAGTGAGTTCTCAAAGTTTTAATGATTATTACAATTATTATCAATAGTAGCGCCAGTATCACTACTCCTTTACTTCAAAGCTGATAGGAAACTCCTCTCTACTGGCCCACACTTTCTTCAAAGAGAAATGCATCTGAATTTCAAAAGGCATGGCTTCTATTACTGTCCCTGAACAGTCTGCATGGGAGTTCTTTATACTATTCTAATTTTATGCCTAAAAAATTTTACAATAAAGGGTTAAAAACTCATCCTAAAATAATTCGTCCAACAAATACTGAGTACTTACTTTTTTTTTTTTTTTTTTTTTTTTTTGACGGAGTCTCACACTGTCACCCAGGCTGGAGTGCAGTGGTGTGATCTCGGCTCACTGAAAGCTCTGCCTCCCGGGTTCGCGCCATTCTCCTGCCTCAGCCTCCCGAGTAGCTGGCATTACAGGTGCCTGCCACCATGCCCAGCTAATTTTTTGTATTTTTGGTAGAGACGAGGTTTCACTGTGTTAGCCAGGATGGTCTCGATCTCATGACCTCGTGATCCACCCGCCTCAGCCTCCCAAAGTGCTGGGATTACAGGCGTGAGCCACCACGCCCGGCCCTGAGTACTTACTCAATGTGCCAGGTACAGGGAGGACAAATTAGAACATGAGAGCCACAGTCCAGTTATCATGAAGCTGGCAGTAATGAGCTTTACCTTGTGGAGTCCTCGGCCATTTTTCCCCTGTCACTTATTTCTCAATCAAATCATCACTACTGATTTTCAAGATCAGCTAAACCTTCTCCAATGAGTCAGTTCTACATTTCTGCCCCACCTCTATTCATCATTTAAAACTCAACAGACCAATTACTACTTTTTCCCCAAACAACTGTCTTCTTGAAACCTCCTCATGACCAGAGAGTTAGTTCTATCAATTCATCATTCGCTGACATCAACTTTACAAAATGTCCCACTGCTCTACAACAGCTCTCAAACCACTCCCCACCCCCATAGTATTTACTGACCTCCCAGTTTCACCCATGGTCACATTCTGAATTTGCCTTCGTTCTACAAATTCCCCCTTTCTGGTTCCTCCTGAATTCTCTCAAAAGCCCTTCTATTTTATTTTTATTTTTATTTTTATTTTTTTTGAGACAGAGTCTTGCTCTGTTGCCTAGGATGGAGTGCAGTGGCATAATCTTGGCTCTCTGCAACCTCCACCTCCCAGGTTCAAGCAATTCTCCTGCCTCAGCCTCCCGAGTAGCTGGGATTACAGGTGCCCACCACCACGCCAGGCTAATTTTTTGTATTTTTTTTTTTTTTTAGTAGAGACAGGGTTTCACCATGTCAGCCAGGCTGCTCTTGAACTCCTGACCTCAAGTGAACCACCTGCCTTGGCTTCCCAAAGTGCTGGGATTACAAGCGTGAGCCACCACGCCCAGCCAGGCCTCCCTATTTTTGTCACTCAAATCGCTTTTATTCCAGATCTTACCTCTGTTCTGTAAGCATTTTCTGTAAGCATGTTCCGACCCTGTTGGGGGCTCTCTCTGTCCTGTATCTACTGCTACCCCTACCCCACGCTATTCTCCTTGGCCCCAGTTGCTATAATACCTTGTTATTCATCCTATGATCTATCCAAATTAGATCCTTTACACTTTTACATACAGCTCTGAAATGTCCCCTCTCCATTCCTTTTGAAAACTCATCTCCTCTGCCTAGAATATCCTCCTTCCTTTTATTCTCTATGCATGGAAAATCTCCTGATCCTGAGGTCTAGGAAAAATCCTATCCACTCTCTCCAAAATCTTCCCTAATATTAAATTTAGAAATTCCTTCCCTCATGTGAATCTCCATAGAACATTGTTTTTATTTATCTTATAGCACTTTTCTTTTTTTTTTTTTTTTTTTTTTGGGACGGAGTTTCACTCTTGTTGCCCAGGCTGGAGTGCAATGGCGTGATCTCAGCTCACCGCAACCTCTACCTCTGGGTTCAAGCGATTCTCCTGCCTCAGCCTCCCGAGTAGCTGGGATTACAGGCATGCACCACCACGCCTGGCTAATTTTGTATTTTTAGTAGAGACGGGGTTTCTCCATGTTGGTCAGGCTGATCTCAAACTCCCAACCTGAGGTGATCCGCCTGCCTCAGCCTCCCAAAGTGCTGGGATTACAGGTGTGAGCCACCATGCCCGGCCTAGCACTTTTATTCTTTTAGTCTCGTTTTTTCATTTTAGAGTGGTAATGAGTAGTCTTAAAAATCCTCCAGGCTGGGCATGGTGGCTCATGTCTGTAACCCCAACACTTTGGGAGGCTGAGGTGGGAAGATCACTTGAGCTCAGGAGTTTGAGACCAGTCTGGGCAATATAGTGGGACCTCACCTCTACTAAAACTTGAAAACAAATTAGCTGGGCGTGCTGGCACACACCTATATCCAAGCTACTGGAGGCAAGGAGGGCATCTGAGGCAGAAGGATCCCTTGAGCCCAGGAGGTTAAGGCTGCAGTGAGCCCTGATGGCACCACTGCACTGCACTCCAACTGCACAACAGAGCAAGACCCTGTCTCCAAAAAAAAAAAAAAAAAAAAAGCTCCAAAGAAACCAACATAATTGCATATAGTAACTTCAATAAATATGAATAAGATCAAATGTCTGTCCTTTTCTTTGTCCAGAATGCCTAAGGATCAGGAATTTTCCAGATGGGATCTTCCTTGTAGATAGAGTTTGAAAGGATTTCTCTAACAGTATATTCACTTGAGCCAGGCGTTGTAAGTTCCTCAACCTAAAAGTTGCCAATTTAATTCAGTTCAACAAGCAGGTATCAAATGCCCACCACTGGGGTTGCAGATTCCCATGCATGGTATTTTTCTACAGCAGTTTCTACAGCATGCTCTACTTTTTGCTATTCATAATTTTCCTGTATGAAATTATTTTGGAACTTTCCCAAGTCTAATTGCAGTACAAACAAGTATGTGAGGCTCTACTGTACTATTTCATCAAATTGTTATGAGTACTTTGTGTGTTTTCAAGTTCATCTCTTTAGTGTCCTTGACCTTTATAAATATGGCATATTGTGATACTTTAAGCTAGAAGAAAAATATGACAGTAGTAAATTAACAGCTTTCTACCCACTTATTGAGTCACTTATCACAGGCCAAACACTGCCTTCAGTGCTTTACATATGTTAACCTAAGTAACTGTCACCACGACAACTTGGTAAGATGAATACTATTATTCTCGTTTTATGGATTTTTTTTTTTTAAGCTGGGCTTAAGGTTGCTGAACATCTCACATTGGGGTAAGTGACAGAGTTGAGATTCAAGCCGGGCTGGGAAAGCCTAGCAGGGCATGGCGGCTCATACCTGTAATCCCAGCACTTTGGAAGCCAAGGCAGGAGGATCACTTGAGCTCAAGAGCTTGGGACCAGCCTGAGCAACATGGCAAAACCCTGTCTCTACAAAAAATACAAAGAAAAAATTAGGATGTCATAGTGCACGCCTGCAGTCCCAGTTACTTGGGAGGCTGAGGCGGGAAGACTGCTTGAGCCTAGGAGGTCAAGGCTGCAGTGAGCCATGATTGTGCTACTGCACTCCAGCCTGGTTGACAGAGAAAGACCCTGTCTCCATTTAAAAAAAAAAAAAAAAAAAAAAAAGCCTACGTCTAACTCCGAAGCTCAATGCTCTTAACCTCTACAGTGAATCATGAAAAAGAATAAAGTCATAAGGATAGTGAAGTATTTGGGGAAAAAAAGATTTATGAAAACAGGTAAAACAAAGTATGAGAAAACACTATCCAATCTTACTGTGAGGAATCTCATAGCAAGGCTAAAATTAGAAAGATAAACTCTTATGGCTCTTTTTTAATCTTTTGATATATAAATAAAGCATGTCAAAGAAAAGTGGAATGCAATGCCAATTCTCTAGTGCAGAAATATCACTTGCTTACGAAGGATCCTGGTCTGGTTGCTTAATACTACAGCATTTTGGCTCACATTACCTACCAAAGGGGAAAAATACTTCAAAATATCTGTCTCAAGGGACTGTTAGAAAGTTGATTAACATACATATTCTAAAATCCTCTGCTTTTTCGGAGTATAAAGATTTTTAATTACAGTAGCAACTAAATTTTAGCCCCAACATTGAAAACCAGTTGTGAAAAAGTCATTTCCCAAAAATGGAGAACTGGTTTCTTCATATTTAAAATTGCTCTGCTGGGGACAAAGTCAATTCTCACTGCAACTGTATACTTTAACAGCTATCCCTTGCTGAAAAGGCTTAGGAATTGGTCACTGGATCCATGTTGTACATCCCAATAACTAAAGCTTAACTCAGTCTGTTACCTTACCTTTAAACGAGGGCCCATGTTCTGAGAACCAAGTAGAGCACTCCTATTCACCAAAGCAGGTAACTTTTGGCCCCTTTCACCTTGTCTTCCAACTTCCACATGAAAGAAAAACGCCACAAGGTCAACAGAAAGGGTCTATCCATCAGACTTTGTCACAGTAATCAGGTCAGTGTTTCTGGGATGAACTGGATGAACTCCAGGGTAGAGAAATACAGCCCAAGAATATATCATTCCTGGACTTCTCTCTAGTGCAGGGTGCAATCGACTGCCAAAGGACGCCCCAGGATCCTGTCCAAAAAAGAAAACAGGGTTAGTTGGAATAGGTTTTTATTTCTGAAAAGGATTCCCCAGAAAAAAATCAAAGAGAAGGTAGAACAGGCAGTGGAAACCCTGGGACACTAAAAATAACCAAAAATTGGTAAACTCTGACCAAGCATTCTCAATTAAAACTCCACACAGTTTCCTTGAGGCCTCTCTCCAACTCCATAAGAAAAGTCAACTGGCAGCCTCACTGTCTATAACTATGTCTCCGGCTGAGAAGTGCCAGAGCTTCCTTCAGTTCACTGTCCCCAAATACTTCCCTATCCTTATGACATTATTCTTTTTCATGATTCAGCATAGAGGTTAAGAGCATTGAGCTTCAGAATTAGACACAGTTTTTTTGTTTTTGTTTTTGTTTTTGAGACAGGGTCTTTCTCCATCACCCAGGTTGGAGTGCAGTGGCATGATTACAGCTCACTGCAGCCTTGACCTCCTGGGCTCAAGCGATCCTCCCGCCTCAGCCTCCCAAGTAGCTGGGACTACAGGCGTGCACTACCACACCTGGCTAATTTTTTATTTGTGTTTTTTGTAGAGACGGGGTTTTGCCATGTTGCTCAGGCTAGTCTTGAACTCCTAAGCTCAAGAAATCCTCCTGCCTTGGCCTCCCAAAGTGCTGGGATTACAGGTGTGAGTCCATTCTTCAGTAGAAGCAAACTAGGCCACAGACTTAAAGAGTAACCTTCAGCACAACCACATACCCAGTTTGAATATAATGGGGTTGCAGCACAGGGTCTGGAGCAACCACAAAGACAAGTGAGATGAACGCACAGCCAGAACCAGGTTACGGACAGCCTTATATGCCATGGTAAGGAATTGAGACAATATTCAGCTGGAAAGGAGAAACTTCCAAAGAGCTTTAAAGCCCAATCTATCAGCCTATGCAGTCTGCTCCCTTCGTGCCCACATATGCATTTCCAAGACATGCTTAAATAAAGTTGATTTTATATTTAAAACAGTAAAATCTGCTACTACGAGTCAGGGGAAAATCTGTGAACTTTCAAAATAAAGTCACTAAATAAAGTCCAGTAAAGTCAGTTTATAACTCTCGAAGATATTCATGAACCAAAAATGTAGCAGAAAGGGGGTTTATGGCAATGCATACACAAACAGCCACCATAAGACAAATGAGAAGAGACTACTAATTAGTAAATGAAGAGACAGTCTTACCATATGGCAGGAACTGTTCTCAGTGCTTCATACACATAAACTCACAGATACAATTATCCCTATTTTAACACAGATACAATTATCCCTATTTTACAGATGAGGAAACTGGGACACAGAAAGGTTAAAGTACTTTTCCAAGAAAACACACAGTGAGTAATAGAGCTGAGTCAAACTCAGACAACCTGGACCCAGAATCCCTGCTTTTAATGACTACTCTACTGCCTCTCCACTATGGGAAACCAAGGAAGAAAGCACAAAATGCTAAAAGAACAGAATGAGTGAAGACCAGTAAATGAAATTAAGTTGGCAAACTTTTATCATTAAAAATAAATAAGTATATGTATTTAGTTTAAAATACAGCAACATGACCGGGCACAGTAGTTCACGCCTGTAATCCCAGCACTTTGGGAGGCCAAGGCAGGCGGATCACTTGAGCCCAGGAGTTCAAGACCAGCCTGGGCGACATAACAAAACCCCGTCTCTACAAAAAATACAAAAATTACCCAGACATGGCGGCAGGCGCCTGTGGTCCCAGTTACTTGGAGGCTGAGGTGGGGGTTGGCTTGAGCCCAGGAGGCAGACGTTGACGTGAGCCGAGATCATGCCACTGCACTCCACCCTGGGCAACAGAGCCAGACCCAGTCTCAAAATAAATAAATAAATAAATAAATAAATAATGCCAACAGACTTGCCAAGTACAAGAGCCAAAACCTGGGTCAACTGGCTACTGGAACCAGCTTAAAGGATCCACAAACAACAGACTATATACGTAAGCTATAAGAGAGCACTATGTAGAATACTATATAAGGAATTTTTAAATGACACTTTTAAGGAATAAACAACATAGGGAAATGCTTACAAATAAAATGTTAAATAAAAAAGTAGGAACAAAACTGTTTATGTAGCACAAGTCCAAATTTAGAAACATAACATTACATAAAGAAGACTGAAAGGAAAATATAAAAATATTAATAGTGATCATCTCTTGGTATACGGAATTATAAATAATTTTTATTTTCTACCTGTACCTTTTAGTGTTTTTCAAATTCTTAATGTTGCAAGGACATGTAAAAAGTTTCTATTTCTGGAGAACACATTTTTGGTGGGGACTGATTTTCCTTAAATAAGGGAGAGAATGGGCAAGTTATCCTTTTTTCAAATAAGAAAATGGTATAAAGAGGCTGGGCACGGTGGCTCACGCCTGTAATCCCAGCACTTTGGGAGGCTGAAGCGGGCGGATCATGAGGTCAGGAGATCAAGACCATCCTGGCTAACACGGTGAAATCCCGTCTCTACTAAAAATACAAAAAATTAGCCAGGCACGGTGGCGGGTGCCTGTAGTCCTAGCTACTTGGGACGCTGAGGCAGGAGAATGGTGTGAACCCGGGAGGCGGAGTTTGCCGTGAGCCAAGATTGCGCCACTGCACTCCAGCCTGGGCGATAGAGTGAGACTCTGTCTCGGAAAAAAAAAAAAAAAAAAAGAAAGAAAGAAAATGGTATAAAGAAATTAAGATAACAGATTATACTGAACTTTTCTTTCCTTCTTTTTTTTTTTTTTTTTGAGATAGAGTCTTGTTCTGTTGCCCAGGCTGGAGTGCACTGGCATGATCTTGGCTCACTGCCTCACTACAACCTCCACCTCCTGGGTTCAAGCGATTCTCTTGCCTCAGCCTCCCTAGTGGCTGGGACTACAGGTGCGTACTACTATGCCCAGCTAGTTTTTGTATTTTTGGTAGAGGCAGGGTTTCACCACGTTGGCCAGGCTGGTCTTGAACTCCTGACCACAGGTGATTCGCCCGCCTCAGCTTCCCAAAGTGCCAGGATTACAGGAATGAGCCACCACACCCAGCCTGAACTTTTATTTCTATTCACTATGATGTTAGCAGGTTTCCAACCCTGTGATCAGCTATTTGATTATTAAATCAAATAACTCCTAGTTGTAATATAAGCTTTACTATCCCTACCGTGAGCTACCATGCTCACCGCAATGCTTCAGTACCTCTACTGAGCTTCAAAACTCAACTCAAGCACTCCCCCTTCTCTGGTCCTGCTCCAAGGCCTCTCTGAGGACTCTTCCCACACCAGATAGAATCAGCCACTTCCTCCTTTGTGGTGCTCCTCTGCTGAAGATACCTCCGTTATAGCATTTACTAGTCTGTATTGAAATTATTTGTTTATATAGCAGTCTCTCCTAATAGATTGCGGACTCCCCAAGGAACACTGACCAGGTCATAACATTGCCTCCCCAAGGCTAGTATGGTGTTCAGCCCTGCTATCTCAGAGTCTGTACTTTCACAAGATCCCCAGGTGAGTCCTATGTATGCTGAAGTTTGAGAAACATGGTTTAGACTCTAGAGCAATCAGTATGAGAAGGGGCTCAACATTCTGTATCTCTAACAGGTTCACAGGTAATGCTGATGCTGCTGGTCTCCTAGACCATGCTTTCAGAAGTGAGAATCCAAGTTAAGAGTCAGCAAGCCAAATCCTAACAGCCGCCTGTTTTTGTGAAAACAGCCAAGTTCATTCATTTACATATTATCTGTGGCTGCTTTTGCACAATGGCAGAGCTGAGTAGTTGCAGCAGAGACATATGGCCCACAAAACTTTACTATCTGATGCTTTATTGAAAAAGTATACCAATTCCAGGTGTAGAGGTCTTAGTCTTAAAGCTACACAACTACCTTATATAAACAAATACATTTTTCTAAATCAAAGAAAGCATACAAATCATTTTCTTCCAGTTCTACCATCTCTTCTTAGGAAAAGAATTACAAAACTTGCAATGTTATGCAAACACATCTAGTTTCAACTATGACTTGATGGCTTTATTCTTCCCATACCCCAATTAGGAATTTTACAGTCATTTTCCAAAGTATGTATTTCATACAATCATGCTTGCATTTGATCAAGGCTAATATTTCCTAAAACTAGTATCTCGGGGACCAAATACTGTATCCGGGTTGCTAAAATTACTATAACACATACTACTAACTCAGTCTCTACTTCTAAAGTGCTATTCTAAAAAGCTGTGAAAGGCCAGGTGCAGTAGTGCACACCTGTATTCCCAACACTTTAGGAGGCTGAACTGGGAAGATCACTTGAGCCTAGGAGTTGAAACCAGACTGGGCCCTCTCTAAAAAAATAAAAATAAATTGGTCAGGTATGGTGGCTCACGCCTGTAATCCCAGCACTTTGGGAGGCCAAAGTGGGCAGATCACCTGAGGTCAGGGGTTTGAGAAAAGCCTGGCCAACATGGCAAAACCCCATCACTACTAAAATACGAAAATTAGCCACGCATGGTGGCACACACCTGTAATCCCAGCTACTCAGGAGACTGAGGCAGGAGAATCACTTGAACTTGGGAGGCTTAAGTTGTAGTGAGCCAAGATTGCGCCACTGCACTCCATCCTGGGTGACAAAGCAAGACTTCGTCTCAAAAAATAAAATAAAATAATAAAATAAAATAAATTAGCTGGGCGTGGTAGCATGCCCCTGTTGTCCTAGCTACTCAGAAGCTAAGGCAGGAGGATCTCCTAAGCCCAGAAGTTTGAGGCTACAGTGAGCTGTGATCACACCACACCACTGTACTCTAGCCTGGGTAACAGAGAGAGAGATCCTGTCACACATACACACACACACACACACACAGCCATGAAAAACATGATGTAAAAGTCCATTTCAAAATTTTGGTGCATACAGAGCTAGTGGCAGCAAACAGAAGTTCTGATATCACCTACTGATGTCCACCAAATGACAAGACAAAAGAAAGACGTTTGTTTTGTAAGATGCAATCTCCAGCATTCTCCACAGAGAAGCACCAGCCATGAGTCCAGGGACATGAACTTAAAAAAACAAACTATTCAATTTTCAAAAAGTGCACAGGTTAGGGTGGTCTAACTAAGGAGGTTCCAAGAATATATCAGACACTTTGGATTATCAGTTTACATTTACTATGGCTTAATTCCACTCTTAGTTTATACTCCCCAACCCAAAATCCCACCATAAAAGATTGCCCTCCTCCATCAAGTTTATACTCTTGAGATATTTATACAGTTGTCTATTTCTGCTATTGTGGTTTAGCCAAGTTACATGGTTTTCATTTATACTTTCTTCATCAGTCAGCCTCTCCAGTCTCTTAATCATTCCTGTGGGTCTTCTGTGAACTCTCTCCAGCTGATCCCCAACGATCTGGTAATGAGGTGCCTCCAAATGACTGCAGCCTTCCAGGGACAGCCTCATTAGTCAGCAGGATGAACTCACTCTCCTCAGTTCCATGACATACTACTCTTGAGCAGGCAATCCCCCAAATCACAGAAATCTACTGTGCTGCCGTATTAGACTGTACCTCATTCTATAACTCCCAGATTTGGACACTGGGGCATGCTAGAATGTGCTAGAAGCCAGAGGATAAATGACCCATGTTCCTACAGCATCTGTTTCACTAGAGGATGAGTGACTGGGGAGAAAAAAAAATTTCATGTTAAATCAAACTCATAGATAATAAAACAGAATGTAATATTTGCATGAATTTCTAAAGATAAAACATGGATATGTTGAATATATTCATAGATATTCTGAACTTGAAGCAGAAAGGCTGCTTGGGCCTCTGCTCCCGGCACCAAGGAGTTAACATATCCTTTACCACTAGAGGTACTTGAGCCAAAACCCTCACTCAACTTCTGATCTACTGTGCATTACCTTACTCATACCATATACTCACATTTTAAATGATATTATTTTTCTGCTATGTTTCCCCATCCTAGATATCTATATTTATTTTCTCTTTGCCTAAAATCTTTTGCTGCAGGAACACGTGTCATTTATCTTCTGGCTTCTAGAACATTCTTGCCTGCCCTGATGCCCAAATCTGGGAGGCATGAAATGGGGTTACAGTCTAATTCACTCGATAATTCACAGACTACCAACATCTATAGGTTCCTCTTCATCGTTCATTCTTCATTCATTTCACATTTCTTGAGCATTTGCTATATACTGGGCTACGTGATAAAAGCTAAAGTCACAAGGATAAATAAGACAGGGTGCTTTCTTAACCTCAATGAACTTGGTCCGCCATGGGAGAAGGACAATGCAATGTTGCAAGTGCCATAAAAGAGGAATAAGCAAAGTATGGAGGGCAGAGGAAGGAGAAGTAACTGTATGTGCAAGTGGAAAAGCAGAGACAACAGAGCTGATTACTTAAGAATGAGTAAGCAGGCTGAGCATGGTGGTTCATACCTGTAATCCCAGCACTTTGGGAGGCTGAGGTGGGAGGATGGCTTGCGCCCAGGAGTTCAAGACCAATCTGGGTAACATAGTGAGATCCCATCTCTAAAAAAAAAAAAAAAAAAAGCTGGGTGTGGTGGTATGCACCTATGGTCCCAGCTACTCAGGAGGCTGAGGTGGGAGGATCATTTGAGCCCAGGAGGGTGAGGCTGCAGGGAGCCCTGACTGCTCCACTACACTTCAGACCGTGTGAAGAGCAAGACTCTGTCTCCAAAAAAAACCAAGGTGTTTAGAAAGACCACCTGGGGCTAAACTAGGATGACTACCATGTAGTGGTTAAGAGCATGAATCTTACTACTGAATGATCTTAAACAAGTTACAGCAGGTCCTCAAACGACATCAGTTTCATTCAACACTGTTTTCTTATGATTTTGAGGAGTAAAAAAATGGACTCCTGGCAGGCACCAATGTGTGGAGTTCACACATTCTCTGTGTGGGTTTTCTCTGGATACTTGGATTTCCTCCCACATCCCAAAGATGTGCACTTCAAAGTTAACTGGCATGTCTAAAGTGTCCCAGTCTAAGTGACAGTGAGGGGTGTGTGTGTGTGTGTGTGTGTGTGTGTGAGAGAGAGAGAGAGAGAGCAAGAGCAAGAGAGAGAGAGAGAGACAGCACACAAGCGAGAGAGCCCTGCAATAGAATGGCGTCCCATCCAGCGCTGGTTCCCAACTTGCACCCTAAGCCCTGGCCACCCTCAACCGTGGACTGGAATAATTGGGTAAATGTTATAATTATCTAACTTGTTTTTATCAATCTTTCTTATACATACTGCTCTCATTTATTTTAATATGTATATTATGTTCTGGTCTTTATTTAAAATAGTTTGGTGATATTTTTGTGACCAGAAATATGCCATAGGAACTTAATTCTTGTTTATATCAATTAGCCTATGGTAAAACTGGTTATCAATATACATCATTTTGTTTGAAGGAGAAGTTTCCAAGAACCTATCAACATCAAGTGAGGACTTGCTGTAAATTTCTCTTCAGTTGCCTCATATGTAAAATGGAGATGCACTGAGAAAAGAAACGAATCCGCTGCTCTTGGGGAGCAAGACTTGGAGAATAAGGACAAGGAGAATTGCTTGAGACTGAAACTTTACACCCAGGTGATATGGAGTGCCTTGGGGGACAAGGCTGTATGCACAGACCAGGCTGCTGGGTTGCCAGGTTATGAGGGTGGTTTGTGCCAGGCCACAATAGCCCAACCCACAGCAAGTGAGGAAGATGGCTTCAATCTACCTGAAGGACTCACTGGTTTTCCAGAGAGATTCCATGTGGAAAAAACTACAGCAACAATCCAAAATAATGGATTTTCCAGTGTTCTCTGAAGGATGATGATAACAAGAATCAACCTTTATTGAGAACTTACTATGTGCCAGGCATTGTATAAAGTGCTACATCTATATTATCTCATTTAACTCTCACATCAACCATATGAGGAAAGCATACTTTATCCATATTTTATAGATTAGGAAACAGAAGCACAGAAAGCTAAAATGACTTGCCTATAGCCATCTAGTTTATAAGTGAAGGAGTCAAGCAATGTGATTCCAGAGTTTATATTCTTTCTCTACTCTTAACTGGCAATACTGATGTATCAAAAAGAACTTCCAGAAGGGGGGAAAAAGATATTATTCTTGGGATAGGAAGAATTAAGCTCAGAAATATTTAATTTGAAATTTTAGCCGGGCGCAGTGGCTCACACCTGTAATTCCAGCATTTTGGGAGGCCAAGGCAGGTGGATCACGAGTTCAGGAGATCGAGACCATTCTGGCTAACATGGTGAAACCCTGTCTCTACTAAATATACAAAAAAAATTAGCCGGGCATGGTGGCACACGCCTGTATTCCCAGCTACTGGGGAAGCTGAGGCAGGAGAATTGCTTGAACCCAGGAGGCAGAGGTTGCAGTAAGCTGAGATCATGCTACTGCACTCCAGTCTGGGCGACAGAGCGAGAGTCCCTCTCAAAACAAAACAAAACAAAACAAAAAGGAATGTTAAAGGAATATGACTTCATTTTAGACTTTAAGCAACAACAACAACAAAAAGATGTTTTTTAACCGAGAGAGAAAAAGGATCACACATTTTAAATGAAGTAACTCTGGGGACAATGTGAAAGACTCTGAAGGGGGACAGACCCATTAATGAGCACAAGATAAGGGGCTACTGGTCCAATGGAGTAGCTATACACTGGCCACAATATAGACAGGGTCCAACATAGACCCTCATTAGTCACATTGGTTGAGGGTGGCCAGGGCTTAGGGTGCAAGTTGGGAGCCAACCCTGGATGGGTTGCTCTCCTGCTTTATGCTCTCAGAAGCAACAGGATCAATGATCTGTGAGGTCAAATGAATAAACAAGAGGAAGAAGCCAAGGAAAAAGGCAAATTTTCTATGGTTGGGAGCCTGGATAAATGAAGGAGAATTAAGGAGGCAAAGCAAACATGAAAAAAAAGATATATTAGTCCAATTTCATGCTGCTGTTAAAGACGTATCAGAGACTGGTTAATTTACAAAGAAAAAGAGGTTTAATGGACTCACAGTACCATGTGGCTGGGGAGGCCTCACAAATCACGGTGGAAGGTGAAAGGCATGTCTTACATGGCAGCAGGCAAGAGAGAATGAGAGCCAAGCGAAAAGAGAAATCCCTTATAAAATCATCAGATCTTGTGAGACTTATTCACTACCACAAGAACAGTATGTGGGAAACTGCCTCCGTGATTCAATTATCTCCCACTGGATCCCTCCCATAACACATGAGAATTATGGGAACTATAATTCAAGATGAGATTTGGATGGGGACACAGCCAAACCATATCATTCCACCCCGGCCCCTCCCAAATCTCATGTCCTTACATTTCAAAACCAATCATGCCTTCCCAACAGTCCTCCAAAGTCTTAACTCAAAGTTCACAATCCAAAGTATCATCTGAGACAAGGCAAGTCCCTTCTGCCTATGACCCTGTAAAATCAAAATCAAGTTAGTTACTTTCTAGATACAATGGGAGTACAGGCAATGGGTAAATATACCTGTTCCAAATGGGAGAAATTGGCCAAAACAAAGGGGCTGCAGGGCCCATGCAAGTCCAAAATCCAGCAGGGCAGTCAAATCTCAAAGCTCCAAAATGATCTCCTTTGACTCCATGTCTCACATCCAGGTCACGCTGACACAAGAGGTGGGTTCCCATGGTCTGGGGCAGCTCCATCCCTGTGGCTTTGCAGGGTACAGCCTCCTCCCCAGCTGCTTTCGTGGGCTAGCACTGAGTGCCTGAGGCTTTTCCAGGCACATGGTACAAACTGTCAGTGAATCTACCACTCTGGGGTCTGGAGGACGGTGGCCCTCTTCTCACAGCTCCACTAGACAGTGCCCCAGTGGGGACTCTGTGTGGGAGCTTCAACCCCACATTTCCCCCCAACATTGCCCTAGCAGAGGTTCTCCATGAGGGCCCCACCCCATAGCAGACTTCTGCCTGAACATTCAGGAGTTTCCATACATCCTCTGAAATCCAGGCAGAGGTTCTCAAACCTCAGTTCTTGACTTCTGTGCACCCACAGGCTCAACATCACGTGTAAGCTGCCAAGGCTTGGGGCTTGCACCTTCTGAAGCGATGGCCCAAGCTGTACCTTGGCTCCTTTCAGCCACAGCTGGAGCAACTGGGGCACAGGGCACCAAGTCCCTACACTGCACACAGCAGGGGGGACCTGGGCCCTGCCTTCAAAACCATTTTTTCCTCCTAGGCCTCCAGGTCTGTGATGGGAGTGGCTGCTATGAAAACCTCTGACATGCCCTGGAGACATTTTCCCCATTGTCTTGGTGATTTGGCTCCTCTTTATTTATGCAAATTTCTGTAGCCAGTTTGAATTTCTCCTCAAAAAATGGGTTTTTCTTTTCTATCGCCACTGTCAGGCTGCAAATTTTCCAAACTTTTATGCTCTGCTTCCCTTTTAAATGTAAGTTCCAATTTCAGATCATCTCTCTCAAATTCAAAGTTCCACAGATTTCTAGGGCAGGAGCAAAATGATTCCAGTCTCCTTGCTAAAGCATAACAAGAGTGACCTTTGCTCCAGTTCCCAACAAATTCCTCATCTCCATCTGAGACCACCTCAGCCTGGATTTCAATGTCCATATCATCACCATTTTGTTCAAAGTCATTCAACAAGTCTCCAGGAAGTTTCAAACTTTCCCACATTTTCCTGTCTTCCTCTGAGCCCTCCAAACTGTTCTAACCTCTGCCTGTTACCCAGTTCCAAAGTTACTTCCATATTTTCAGGTATCTTTACAGCACCGCCTCACTCCCAGTACCAATTTACTCTATTAGTCCATTTTCACACTGCTGATAAAGACATACTAGAGACTGGGTAACTTCTAAAGAAAAAAGGTTGAATGGACTCACAGTTCCACATGGCTGGGAGGCCTCACAACCATGTCAGAAGGCAAAAGGCATGTCTTACGTGGCAGCAGGCAAGAGACAATGAGAGCCAAGCGAAAGGGGAAATCCCTTATAAAATCAACAGATATTGTGAGACTTATTCACTACCATGAGAACAGTATGAGGGAAACCACCCCATGATTCAATTATCTCCCACTGGATCCCTCCCACAACAATGGGAATTATGGGAGCTAAAATTCAAGGTGAGATTTGGGTGGGGACACAGCCAAACCATATCAAAAGATAATGAGTAGAGAATTAAACATGTTAAGTTTGGAGTGTCTACAGGATATCCAGGTGAATACATTCAAAAGGTACATAGAAATACATTTGTATCACACGCAAAATGTAGTCCTTCGTGTGTAGCATTTTTTCACTTAGCATAATGGTTCTTAGATTCATACATGTTGTTACACATTTCGGTAGTTCACTCCTTTTTCCTGCAGAGTAGTACTCCATTAAATGGACATACTGCAATCTGTTTATCCATTCACCAGATGAAGGACATTTGGGTTACATCCAGTTTGGTGGTATCATAGATAAAGCTGCTATGAACATTAAGCTACAAGTCTGTGTAGGCACATGATTTCATTTCTCTTGGGTAAATATCTAAGAATGGGATTGCTGGGTCATATGGTAAGTATCTACTTAACTTACAAGAAACTGCCAAACCGTTTACCAAAGCGGCTGGACCACTTTGCATTTCCACCAGCAATGCACAAGAGGCAGGTTGCTCTATATCCACCAACACTTGGTACTGTCTTAATGTTACCCATTCTAATAGGTGTGAAGTGGTATCTCACTGTGATTTTAATTTGCATTTCCCTAAGGACTAACAATATTGAGTATTTTTTTCATGTGTTTATTGGTTATTTGTATTAGTTTCTTTGAAGTATCTATTCAAATCTTTTCTTTTTTAAAAATCGAGCTGTTTGTCTTCTTACTATTGAGTTGTAAGAGTTCTTTATACATTCTAAATGTGAACCCCGAATATCTGAGACAGGTCTCAGTTAATTTAGAAAGTTTATTTTGCCAAGGTTGAAGACATACGCCCAGGACACGGCCTCATGAGGTCCTGACGACATGTGCCCAAGGTGGTTGGGGCACAGCTTGCTTTTATACATTTTAGGGAGACTTGAGACATCAATCAAGATGTATACTGGCTCAGTCCAGAAAGGCGGGACAACTTGGAGTAGGGAGGGGGGCTTCCAGGTGAGAAAAATGGTTGCATTATTTTGAGTTTCTGATTAGCCCTTCCAAAGAAGGCAATCAGATATGCATCTATCTCGGTAGGCAGGGGATGACTCTGAACAGAATGAGACACAGATTTGCCCTAAGCAGTTCCCAGCTTTACTTTTCCCTTTAGCTTAGTGATTTGGGGGCCCCAAGACTTATTTTCCTTTCACATAAATATAAGTCCTTTATTAGATAAACATTTTGCAAATATTTTCTGTGGCTTGCCTCTTCATTTTCTTAACAGAAAATACACTTTTTAAAGAGTACAAGTTTCTAACTTTGATGAAAGCCAACATAAATTTTTTCTTCATAGTTTGTGGTTTTTGTGTTCTATTTTTTAAAACTCTGCCTAGCTCAAGGTCACAAAGATTTTCTCCTGGTTTTTTTCTAGAGGGTTATCTAAACGTTTCACAAGAGAAAATCCTCTCGTCAAATTTTTTAACAAGAACTTTTTAAAACTCCTGCATTCCATTTATCTCATAGTCATTAAGTTTTATTCCCCTTGTTTCTTTCAAATTCAATGCTGCACATTACCATGCACTATTTAAGTTACAGTCTTCTGTTGTTTTTTTTTTTTTGAGACGGAGTTTCGCTCTTGTTGCCCAGGCTGGAGTGCAATGGCACCATCTCGGCTCACCGCAACCTCCACCTTCCAGGTTCAAGCGATTCTCCTGCCTCGGCCTCCCAAGTAGCTGGGATTATAGGCATGCGTCACCACGCCCAGCTAATTTTGTATTTTTAGTAGAGACGGGGTTTCTCCATGTTGGTCAGGCTGGTCTCGAACTCCCGACCTCAGGTGATTCGCCCACCTCAGCCTCCCTAAGTGCTGGGATTACAGGCGTGAGCCACCATGCCTGGCCCCAGTTATAGTCTATTTCTGAATTTGGAAAGATTTTAATATTTTAACAGATTTTTCCTCTCTTCAATCTAGTAAATGGAATGCTTAAGTTTAGCCAAGGTTTTAGTCCCTCACTTCTCTCCAAATCCACATAAGACCTCTGCACCCCTGATACTGGTTCTTAAAACAACAACTAAATTCCACAACCCAGAACATGCACCTTGAAGTTAAGCCAGGGACAATAAACTAGTTACCCTTCTGGCTTTAACGAGAGTCTTTTATAAGATCATGCCCACCTTACTGAGTCACTCTAACCTGTGATGAGACTGGAAAATGTTGTCCTATAATCACTCACTGGTTAAATTAAAATTTAGGCTTATAAAGGTTAAGCTAACCAAGACAAAAGTAATTCTGCATTTCTTAATTCAGTTTGGATTCTCTCTATTGCACCATTCTCTCTAAAACAAGCCAGAGTTCTTCAGACCCGTATTTCTTTTTGTATAGTATACACAAAGGCATAGCTTAGATTCAGCTGTCCCTGGAGTTGTTTGCCATTCATTCTCAGCACAGTTTAGAGAAAGCAGGAAAAAGGGATTCAAAGCTAATGTTGAGTATAACAGGGAAAACAAGAAGTGAGAATTTACCATTGCTCATTTTGTAACCTCATGGGGAGAAAAACAAAAGAGAAAACTGGCTCATCCATGTCACTGTCCCATTCTTAACCCTAAATCTAGAAAATACTAGCTTCAGTTTCCTCTTCCCTCCTATCTTGATGTGTTTTCTATATACAAAACTGACTCTGCTATGCCTGAGCCACAGAGGACAGGCCCCCATGTTCCCATCTCATGGCAGCTTTTATGCTTAGGTGACTTTGGACCACTGAATCTTGGCTATAACAGGAAGATTTTAAAAGTAATTCTTTGAACCTGACAAGCCGTCTCCCTCAATAAGTCTAGGAAGCTATTATTCCATTAACTGCGCCTGAAGTGGCAGGCACACAGCCAGATCTGCAGCCCAGTCGGGTGGAACTGGAATGGTCACACGTATACTTAAAAGCTAACTCTGCCTCTACTACCATCCATTACTTTCAATTCTGTGCTTATTTTTAAGGAAAATAAATTATTTATATAATTGAAAGGAAAAACAATGTTAATTAAATGAGCATTTTGTAGTTAAGATTCCAAGAAGAAAAACTCAACTAGCCACAGAAATGGCACCCTAAGATAGCTGGATTTGAAGGAGAAACTCAACACTTACCTATTCAAAACAAAATTTCTGTTGACCTAATAATCAGTTTTACCAAAGAAAGGTCTATTAATTTCTTCAAATGCATATTAAGAAGCGACCACATGCCAAGCAATATGTTGGACCCTAAAGATTCCAGAATGAGTAAAATATTCTCAACACTTTAGAAACATAAAAGCTTAGTAAAGAAGACAGACAAATAAATAATTACGTAGTTATACTTCCGTGTAGTAAAATCTATGAGGTGAGCATAGAGGGTATGGATGGATACCTTAATCAAGATCAGCTCTTAGCTTCTCAGGAAAGTTCACATCACCCTCCTGGAAGCAAAGTCAACTCTTCCATAGAGTTAACAATGCTTTGGGGGTCAAGGAATACAAAACACTACCTATGAAGTATTACTTATTCTCAGGGTCAATGACTCTCTTCAACACTCGTCAGAGGGGATTCTTGGACCACATACATAGCACAGAAAAAGCACTCACTGGAAATACCAACTTATTTATCAAAATTATACACGATCTGGTCGGGCACAGTGACTCATGCCTATAATCCCAGCACTTTGGGAGGCCGAGGCGGGCAGATCACCTGAGGTCAGAATTTCGAGACCAGCCTGGCCAACATGGTGAAATCCCATCTCTACTAAAAATACAAAAATTAGCCAGGCGTGGTGGCAGGCGCCTGTAATCCCAGCTACTCGGGAGGCTGAGGCCGGAGAATAGTTTGAACCCAGGAGGCAGAAGTGGCAGTGAGCCAAAATGGTGCCATTGCACTCCAGCCTGGGTGACAAGAGCGAAACTCCATTTTAAAAAAAAAAGAGGCCGGGCACAGTGGATCACACCGGTAATCCCAGCACTTTGGGAGGCCAAGGTGGGCGGATTACGAGGTCAGGAGATCGAGACCACCCTGGCTAAAATGGTGAAATCCCATCTCTACTAAAAATACAAAAAATGGCCGGGCACAGTGGCTCACACCTGTAATCCCAGCACTTTGGGAGGCCCAGGCAGGTGGGTCACAAGGTCAGGAGATCGAGACCTTCCTGGCTAACATGTGAAACCCCGTCTCTACTAAAAATACAAAAAATTAGCTGGGTGTGGTGGTGGGCGCCTGTAGTCCCAGCTACTTGGGAGGCTGAGGCAGGAGAAAGGTGTGAACCCAGGAGGCGGAGCTTGCAGTGAGCCGAGATCGCGCCACTGCACTCCAGCCTGGGCGACAGAGTGAGATTCGTCTCAAAAAAAAAAAAAAATTAGACGGGTATGGTGGCGGGCGCCTATAGTCCCAGCTACTTGGGAGGCTGAGGCGGGAGAATGGCGTGAACCCGGGAGGCGGAGCTTGCAGTGAGCCGAGATGGCGCCACTGCACTCCAGCCTGGGCGACAGAGTGAGACCTTCGCCTCAGAAAAAAAAAAAAAAAAAGAAATTACACATGATCTAACTGGAATGTGGTATTCTAGATTCAGTTTGGGTATAGAAAAAGGAAATTAGTGGAGAAACTTGTGAAATCCAAATAAAGTCTATAGTTTAGTAATAGTATTGTACCAATGTTAATTTCTTAGATGTGACAGTATGTGCCATGGTTATGTAAGAAGTTAACATTAGGAGACACCGGTGAAAGGTATACAGGAATACTCTGTACTATCTTTGCAACTTTTTTATAAATTTAAAATTATTCCACAATTTAAAACAATTTAATTACAGATGGTGCTCCCCTTTACATTCTCACTCCCCCTTAGAATTCTAATCATGTCTCCCTAATCATTGCCCCAATTCAGGTAATGCCAGCCTAAAACTTTTTAAATATCTTTTTTAACCCCTTTCTATGAACTGTTTGCACAGCCCACCTGGGATTTCTTCTTTACCAAGACATGAAAAACTAGATCACACTTGGGAAGTTTTAACTGTTTTCTGTTCCTAATAGGTTTACCATATATACCGGGGGTACCTTGAATTTGAACTTCCCAAAGCGGACAAGAGAGGGGTTAAAATAACATGCTCTGGGTCTCTGGATAAAAGCAAGGGGACATTACAGAAAATATGTTGTATATTAATAAATTATCTAATCTCTGGCCAAAAAGTACAATATATAGAAAATCAATTAACAGATGTTAACTATTGGCATCTCAACAGTAACAAGCTGCACTGAAATAAATGCCTTCGCTCTGAAAAACATGATGCAAATTGCTCAACTATTCAAGATAACAAAAACTCATAAAATCATATGGAACCGTTCAATTAGACTAAATGACAAAACATGTATCTACCATGACTATTTAGTTTCTAATAGCTAAGTGAATACCCATCTTTCTCTATAAACCCTATCTTGTAGAACAGTCTTCAAAAGAGCCACCAGGAAAACATCACTATGGTGCTGTAACACCATATCAACAGCTCAGGCATGCGTGTGTGTACACACACATACATACACACAAACTGCAATAAGGTTAAACAACCTCAAAAGTTTGAAAACTACTATATGAAAGAACATTAGTGAAGGCTAAGCATTCAGAACCCTTCAAAGAAAAAGAAACCAAAGAAAAATAACTGAAATTTAAACCCAAGTTAGTTAATAGCTAAAGTCATTTAAAAGGTAAAACGGTCAGGCACAGTGGCTCATGCCTCTTCTCCCAGCTACTCAGGAAGCTGAGGTGGGAGGATGGCTTGAGGCCAGGAGTTCAAGATCAGCCTGGGCAACATAGCAAGATCTAATAAATAATAAATAAAAGGTAAAATGATACACTAGAGTCCATTAAGGTCATAAAATCTGATCTATTACATGGTACTAATATGTTGATAGTATTAAATAAATATTACACAACAGTACTCTGACCTGGACCACTTACAGAAAGATGAACAAGAAGAGTAATTCCTCTAAAATATTTCAACTCCCACATCTCTATTCAGCCACCAACCATACTTTACCTATTTACAAGTCTTTCTGTAATACAGGACTGTGGTGAGATTGCCCAGGACAGAATGGGCCCTCAATAAATGCTTTCTGAATGAATGACCAAGCGGCAGTAATCTATCTCTGAGGTATTCTTACAAACCAATTCAATATCAAGACCTCAGAAGCAGAACATGCTGTATGCCATGCTACCACATTTAGGGGCAGGCAAGTTAATTGAAAAATAATTAACAGCGACTAATGTTTGTTGGGAGAAAAAAAGTCCTATCATGTAAGTCAGAAAAATAAATGTAAAAACTATAACTTGAAAATGGACAAAAAAGTGAATCTACTTATAACTTTCTAACATTGAAATACAAGATGTTCTTTAAGGAGTCTTTCATTATCCAGAATAATTTTACAAAGAAATTTGATACCAACTTAAATTAGTAAGTTAGACCAATTAGTGAATGGAATGAAGTCCAAGCCCAATTATGTGTTCAAACTGTGTGTCCAATGCCTTGGGTGATTTTTTCTCTTCAAGACTGCAGAAAAATGCAAAACAACCCTCTTGACTGCTGAGAAGGACTAAAATCATTTCTTTTCCTCACAAGTATGTGCCCAAAAGCAATTACTTTCTGCTCCCATCCATCACAAATCAACACTACCTCCCAGCTTCGCATCCCCCACTTTCCATCCCCATCAAAGAATGCTGTAGAGTATCTGACCACTTTCATTTCACGCTATAAGAACCTCAGATTGCAATAAAATTACAATGCAACAAAAACAAATTTTTCTAAGTATGTTCTTATCCCCCATGGTGTTCCTACACTAATTTAGCTCCCTATTAGGTATTAACAATCAAGGAAATCAGAACACTCTCAATAGAGGTTACAATAGAAATTACAAATGGCCTTTTTTTAAGTTGTTGTTGTTCATGGATTCCAAAATTCAAAGTACACATTACCAGAAGAGCGTTTTTCTGTCAGTGCCTAAATTTAAATGCAAATTACTATTTAATGATATGCAATTTTCCCTCTGAACCTATATATAATACTAATGAGTCAAATGTTTAAGAAGAATAACTGACCATGTTATTTTAGCTTTTAGACAATAAAAAGCTTATTGTCTAATCACCAAGAGATACATCAAAAAACTGGTTGCTATTAGCTCTACACATGAATGGCAGCTTGACAGAGACAAGCTGCTCCAGAAAGATTAGGAACTTCTAGTGACCACAAATGGGGTAAAGCAGAAGGCACATACAGTATCTGTAGCTACCATTTCTACATCAAAAATTCAGTGCCCACAGATATGTAAACTATTAAGCCATCTAAATGAATGTGTGCCTGAAAGAGAAAGGAGAAGCAGAAAAAGTTTACACCCAAATCAACAGAAGAAATCACCCTGCGATTGAGCATCCCAGGACCTGAAAACTTAATGTTTTGAGGTTTATGAACACGTTCAAGTTCCAGTGCAACTATGTTAAAATAAAATTGGGCTGGTGCCAGGCACGGTGGCTCACGCCTGTAATCCCAGCACTTTGGGAGGCCAAGGTGGGCGGATCACCTGAGGTCGGGAGTTCAAGACCAGTCTGACCAACATGGAGAAACCCCGTCTCTACTAAAAATATAAAATCAGCCAGGCGTGTTGGCGCACGCCTGTAATCCCAGCTACTCAGGAGGCTGAGGCAGGAGAATCGCTTAAACCTGGGAGGTGGAGGTTGCAGTGAGCCGAGATTGCGCCATTGCACTCCAGCCTGGGTAACAAGAGCGAAACTAACTCCGTCTCAAAAAAAAAAAAAAAAAATTGGGGCTTGGCACAGTGGCTCACGTCTGTAATCCCAGAACTTTGGGAGGCCGAGGTGGGCAGATCACCTGAGGTCAGGAGTTTGAGACCAGCCTTGCCAACATGGTGAAACCCATCTCTATTAAAAATACAAAAATTAGCAAGGTATGGTGGCACACACATGCCTGCAGTCCCAGCTACTCGGGAGGCTGAGGCAGGAGAATTGCTTGAACCTGGGAGGGGGAGGTTGCTGTGAGCCGAGATTGCGCCACTGCACTCCAACCTGGGCAGCAGAGGGAGGCTCTGTCTCAAAAATAAAATAAAATAAAATAAAATAAAATTGGCATAAAATTCCAACCCTGCCACACATCCTCAAGTTGGAAGACACACAATGGTAACAACAGAAAACACTCTGAGTAGTCTGGTTTACACTCTTCTAGGGACCTCGCATGTTAACTATGAATAAACATAAGTCCTGATAACATCCCAATAAAAGAGTGCTACTATGATTATCTCCATTTTACAGATAAAGAAACTGAGATGCAGATAGATTAACTCACCCAATGTCATGGCGAGTTATAAGGCAGAGCAAGGATTTTAACCCCATCAGTCAGACTCCAAAGTTCGTGTTAAACAATAAACGTGTTTTCATCATAAGGGTTATACAATGGTCACCTTCTTTTTTAAACCTGATAACATATTTTACTTCCAACTCTAGGATAGCATCATGCAATAAGAAAAGTATGACAGAGGTACCCATTCCGTTCCCAGCTTGATCAGTAGCTGGAGAATGGAAGACAAAGTGCAAAAAAAAAAAAAAAAAAAAAAAAAAAAAGAAAAAAAAAGAAAGAAAGAAAGAAAGAAAAAGAAAAAAAGAAATACAAGTACAGACTTTGGAATCACGAGACTCAAACAGACCCCTGAACAAAGTCTGGGGCTCAATTTCCCCATATGTAAAATAAAAGAATTTATGTTATTGAGAAGGTCAAAGAAGGTAATATGAATAAAGTGACAAGTACAGTATACAGGATGGGGGTTTTCATTTAAAGTTTACAGACACCCAGAGGGTCCACGGATGGGCTTCAGAGTCCACCAATCTCATTAAGTGTATTACAAACTGTATGTGTGCCCATTTTTTAAAGAATTGTTCCTGGCTTTCCACAAACTTTCAAGAAATAAGTTATCTCCAAAAAGTTAAGAACCACTGGAATACATAGCAGGTACTCAAAGAAAAAAGCTACCTTTCGCTCCTTGTTCTCACAAATTCTCCCTTTTTACTTAAAGATGACACACCAAGGCTTCACAATAAATGTGCATTGTATCTCACCATTTTCTTGGCTTGGGTAAGTAGTAACATATGCAAGCTTATGCCCCAATTCTCTAGCGATAGTCTAGGCCCTCAAACACTGCTTCATTTCTCTCTTCACCGAGAGGAGTACACGGTATATACTCGAGAACAATCATCCACCTAGCTGCACAAAGCACCATATCGGCTAGGAAAACCAAATAGGAACCACAGCCTCAGGGCTGGACCATAGACACCGGATACCCCAACGCTACAGGGTGAGGAGAATGTGTTCCCCCAAACTACTGGGCAAACCAGGAGTCTGAACCCCCCTACCCTTTTCCTCCCTCTCTCTCTGGAACTCTGGTAAAGGCAGGTCTTCTGGGCTCTGCCTAAGGCTGGAGAGAAACGTTACCCGAGCCGGGGGTTGCAGCGCGACGAAGTTCCACCTCCGCTGTCCTGGGAAGGGGCGGCAGCACTCAGCAGAAGACGGGCTCCCCACTCTCCCACCAACAGACCCCAGAGTTGGTCTCCACCCGGCCTGGGAACCGGCTCGGGGGATTGCCCTTTCCCCAAGGAGTTTCCGCTTCCGGGCTATCCTTTGCCGGAAGCAGTATGTGAATGACGTAGAAGTATTGCGCCGTTGGTGATTACGGAAGAACCAGGAGTTTGGCGTGACCATGGTGAGAGAAGACGGTCCAAGAAGGGACGTTATCAGGCCACTTTTTGGGTGGAGAAGGAGGTAGTCAGACCGTGGCCAAATTTCCTTCACATTATCCTAGCATATTTTCATTCTGGTCTTAGCTCTTAAACTTCTCCAAGCGGTGACTGTTATGCTTTACAGAGTGGGGAAGAGGGTCTGGGTTATTTGAGGCAAGAAGGGAAGGCAATAGACAAGAGAAAAGAAGAGACTTTAAAAGATGCCGTGTGTTTCCAACTTTTTTAATTCTAAAATTTCTGTTTCAAGGGGAAGCAAAAGAAAACAAGGAAGTATGCGACCATGAAGCGAATGCTTAGTCTCAGAGATCAGAGGCTGTGAGTGTCTGGAATCAACTGCCCAGGGATATTCTAATAAGAGTCTAGAGAGGATAAGTAGTAAAAATGTTTGTTGTTATTATTTTGTTTTTTGCTTATTATCGTGTCTTAGATTTATATAGCATGAGATAGCCAGTGTTTAACAGTAATTTAGCTGCTGAGCGATCACACTGGGAAAGGCGATGGGAATTAAACATTTCTTAAGTGTTCACTTTTTCTACCGTTATATGCTTTGTCTGCCATATCGCATTTAAACCTCATGTCAGTTCGGTGAAGTCCGTATAGTTCTCTTTATGTTTTTACCATTACACTACTACATTCCCCTGGGGTGGGGCGAGGGGAGTGTTTCTTGTTGAAAGATGGCAAGGTTAGAGACCTTGTTTGTCTGGCGTTTCCAGTGCCTGGTACTCAAATATTTTTGTCAGAGAAAATGGGAAAACTCCAAGATATCTCCATTTTATAAGTCTTACTAATATAAGAATCCAAATCACTGTGGAAGAAGAAAGTGAAGTGAAATTCCCTAGTATGAAGAGGATCAAAGCGGTGTCCCTGCTTAAGTGTAGAATAAGCATAGCTATTAAATAAAGACTGATCTTCACTGAGTTTAAGAGTCTCAGAAAGCCGGGCGCAGTGGCTCACGCCTGTAATCCCAGCACTTTGGGAGGCTGAGGCGGGTGGATCACCTGAGGTGAGGAGTTCAAAACCAGCCTGGCCAACACGGTGAAACCCTGTCTCCACTAAAAATACAAAAAAGAGTCTCAGAATAAGAGAATAGTCGTTAAAACCTTCAGAATTATTATTCTCAGCCTTTAGTGTGGATGTATTGTGTAATTTTTAGGAATGACACTCCATTAATAATAATTTCTTTCTAGTTAAGGGTTAAGTTCTGTATATGCGTTTTTACATTTTAGCCCTTTATAAGAAGCATATGGGGTAATACTTTTCCCCCAAAAGTTAAAGCATCTGAATCTTCAGAAGATAACTGTCACCCTTTTACCCATTGCTTGGAAGTGGATTGTGATCCTTGATGTGAGAGATTCTGACTAAAAAATAAATATAGTATAATCAGCTTTTATTTACTCATTAACAATTCTTATGCATTATTGGCATTACTGGTTAATTCTGATACTTCCAGGTACTGTGCTTTGCACTAGAGTTATTTGCTCAGAAAGAGTATGCTGATATTAACATGAGGATATCACAAAGTAGGATTTCTTCAGTAGACCAAAAAAAAAAAAAAATGGAACTTTAGATTTTTGAGATTTTAATTGCTGTGGTTTTTCTTCTCCCTTGGATTTAATTTACCTTTTTCTTCCTAGTAAAGAAAAGGATAGATTAAAACCTAAAAAGAAAGAAAAGAAGGATCCCAGCGCATTAAAGGAAAGAGAAGTGTGAGTAATCAAACGTTTGAAGTTTTCCTTTAAAACCATAGACCTCTTAGAAATCCAGGCTTTCCCTGAGCTGGTTTGCTAACTTATTTGTTAGTAAGTCTAGCACAACTATGTAGATGAAAGTCATATCGATGAGCATATATCAATTCTAGTGGTTTGAAGGTTTTGGGATTTTATGGAGCAGTAAAATTTCCCCTAAAATCCTGGAGATATTATCTAGGATTATTAACTTTTTCTTTGCCAGGGATCTTTTAAGAGACATAAGTGCCATTGTTTAACACACCAGCAGTTCATAAAAGAGAGACTGTATCACCAAAAAATATTTAAAATATATTTTCAGAATAAAGATATTTATATAAAGATATGACCTTTATATAAAGATATAAAGGTATTTCATTCCTTTTAAGTAAGTACATTTAACTTTATGAAAACTTTACCACATTTTCCTTATTTTTCTAATTTTTCCCTGGATTGGTAATGGACATATTATCACAGGTAGATACTGATCCATGGCCTAGCATTTGGAATCACTGTCATATTCAACCCAGACAACTTGGGCTAGATGTGATACAGGTCCTGCTGTAGTATATAATCCTAACACTAGACAAACTGTTCTCTATCACATTCCATAACAGCAGTTTTAGAATCCTTTAAGAATGACAAACGTGTTGTTGTATCATTCTAATCACGATAACTGTATTCTACCTCCCTGTGCCCATGGTGATTCTACTTTTGCTAGAGGAAGAGCTAGATTGGATAATTGCTTTTTTTGTTTGTTTGTTTTTGATAATTGCTTTTTTAAAGTTGGTGACAAAGGTTGCCAGGGGAGCTGAGATTAAGATAATGATATTACTTTCTTCCTTGCCTTCCTTTTTAGGATTTATTTCCAATGAACATGGACAAAAGAGTTTACAGCAAACAGTCCCAAGCAGACTTCTTTTTTGTTTTTGTTAATACTAGGGTATCAATGTAAATTTTTCTTTGTTCTTGTTTTCTTTTTCCTTCAGTCCCCAACACCCTTCCTGCTTATTTTTCCAATATAATACACAGCTGGGCCCACCTTACCACATCCTCGTTGATACCAACTTTATCAACTTTTCCATAAAAGCCAAACTGGACTTAGTGCAGTCAATGATGGACTGTCTGTATGCCAAGTGTGAGTATCATACTTTTATGTTTCCGTGACATTTGTTCAGAATAATTATATTTATACAAATACATGAAAGGAGGGAGATGGGGTTCTTGTTAACTGAATTGCTGGCCATTTAATTTACAGTGGTCACCATAGCAGTGACCATGTTTAATGAATTGAAGTATAATGCAAACTTGACTGGAAAAAATTAAACTTTCACAATTCAGAAAACACTTAGAATGCTTCGAGTATCATTATGGACATCAATTTTGAACATAGGGGAATTTTCTGTTTTAGAATTCTAGATTTTAAAATTCTAGATAAATGAAAAATCTATTTTTCAGTATCTATATTCTTTTATGTTAACAAGGATATGTTCTCCCTTTTGCCCCAGTGTTGAAACACTAAATAAGACATTCTGCCATTTATGATCACAGCCCTAGAAGTTAGATAGATGATGGTCAATTCCTAAGTTTATTCAGTTTGGTATTTATTCGTAGTACAGAGGATCTGAGGTAGTTTATTTACACCTAGGTATGCAATTTACCATTAATAGATTTCCCTTGTGTATTTGTATATCCCCTCCTTTAAATGATCTTCCTTCACTACCATGAACAGGAAAAAGAAAAGTAAGGCCATCTATGAAGCCTATCATAGTAAGATCTGTCCCATTTGTAGCGGGTTTATATTTATATATTTTTCAGTCACCCGGTTAGAGGTACGAATGAAAATTAGACTTAAACTTTGCCATAGAGGATAAATTACTGGAATCAAAGGGAAAAATTTGTACCTCCCTTTTTAAGTTTTAAAGGCTACTATATAATGAACAACAGTTGCAGAGTGATAGAAATGGTAAATGTTGTTTACTGATTTATTAAAATGAGCAAGATGAGAAGATGGGGTTAAGGAATGTGTGAAGGGGTAAGAAAGCAGATTCTTTAGATGCCCAAAAATTAATTAAGAATGGCTGCAGCCGGGCGCAGTGGCTCATACCTGTAATCCCAGCACTCGCGGTGGCTCACGCCTGTAATGCCAGCACTTTGGGAGGCCAAAGCAGGCGGATCATGAGGTCGAGATCGAGACCATTCTGGCCAACAAGGTGAAACCCCATATCTACTAAAAATACAAAAATTAGCTGGGCGTGGTGGCACGTGACTGTAGTCCCAGCTACTTGGGAGGCTGAGGCAGGAGAATCGCTGGAACCTGGGAGGTGGAGCTTGCAGTGAGCCGAGATTGTGCCACTGCACTCCAGCCTGGCAAGAGAAACTCCATCTAAAAAAAAAAAAGAATGGCTGCATACATTTATTAGCTGCATACGTTTATTAAGATGTGAAGGTAGCCATCAGATGAGAAAAAAATGGAGCTAATGGAATAAAATAGTCTTCTCTACAGATCAGAATTGATTGGGTGGCAATGGTCAGGGGACCATTGTTTTTTCATATAGGCCTTTCTGTATTACTTTTTAAAGCTATATACATAAACTTTTGAAATAAATCTTTTAGAAATAATCTAAAGTTGAGGTGCTACCAGGCCTCTAAGAATGAGGCTTGGGTGACCCCATATGGGGGAAGACACTAAACTTGGTAGTCTCTTTGTATTTCCCATGGTATTTCTAATTGAGCTGCTTCTCCAGGAATGCTGTGACCTACTTATCAATGAAACGGATAGAGGGTCAAAGCATGGCCCTTTGCTTCCTTGATGAATTGCTTCCTTGACTCTATACCTCCACCAGTAATATCTAGATAGTGACTGTTAGAGCTTTAGGCAGGATAGCTTTAGTCTTATGGCTTTCTTTAAATATGTATACTTTTTTTTTTGAGACAGGGTCTTGCTTTGTCACCCAGGCTGGAGTGCGTTGGCGTGATCTCAGCTCACTGCGACCTCCGCCTCCCAGGTTCAAGCAGTTCTTCTGCCTCAGCCACCCCAGTAGCTAGGACATGCCACCACGCCTATCTAATTTTTGTATTTTTCGTAGAGGCGGGTTTCACCATATTGGTCAGGCTGGTCTCAAACTCCTGACCTCAGGTGATCCACCCACCTCGGCCTCCCGAAGTGCTGGGATTGCAGGCGTGAGCCACCGTGCCTGGCCTTGCTTGCCTTTATACTTAAAGGAAGGCCTTTCTCTTCCTCTTACCTTGAAAAGGCCTGTTTGATCTTTACATGGTTCCTGGTCTCTTCTATTTCCACTTTATAGTCCAACAAGGAAGGATAGTTTGCTTCCCATTGGCTTTCTCTTCTGCCTATGAATCCTGAGGCTGTTACTTTCCCTTTCCTTGTAGTGGTTTTCCTGAGCCTGCTTCCCTACTTCAGTTGCAAGCCTTTGCTCACTTCACTGCTACATGGCTCTGAAATTGGTCCTCTTAAAGAACACATTGCCTTGTTTCATGATCTCAGTATTAAAATATATATATATATTGAGACAAAGTTTCACTCTGTGGCCCGGGCTGGAGTACAGTGGGGTGATCTCTGCTCACTGCAACCTCTGCCTCCCAGGTTCAAGTGATTCTCCTGCCTCAGCCTCCCGAGTAGCTGGGATTATAGGTGCATGCTGCCACTCCCAGCTAATTTTTGTGTAAAGTAGAGACGGGGTTTCTCTATGTTGGCCAGGTTGGTATCGAACTCCTGACCTCAAGCATTCCGCCCACTTTGGCCTCCCAAAGTGCTGGGATTATAGGCATGAGCCACCACGCCTGGCCAGTATTAATATACTTCTAAAAAATTCTAGCATAAAAAAATGGAAGTTGAAGCCTGGGCAACATAACGAGACCCCATGTCTACACATAATTTAAAAATTAGCCAGGGGGCCAGGTGCGGTGGTTCACACCTGTAATCCTAGTGCTTTTCAGGAGTTCGAGATCAGCCCGGCCAACATGGTGAAACCCCATCTCTACTAAAAATACAAAAATTAGCCAGGCGCAGCACCATGTGCCTGTAATCCCAGTTACCTGTGAGGCTGAGGGAAGAGAATCTCTGGAACCTGGGAGGCAGAGGCTACAGTGAGCCGAGATCGTGCCACTGCACTCCAGCCTGGGTGAGAGAGCGAGACTCTGTCTCAAAAAAAAAAAAAAAAAAAAAAAGCATGCATCGTGGCATGCACCTGTGGTCCTAGCTACAGATGCTCAGGTGGGAGGATCACTTGAGCCTGGGAGGCTGAGGCTACAGTGAATTGTGATTATGCCACTACACTCCAGCCCAGGCAACAGAGCAAGACCCTGTCTTTAAAAAAAAAAAAAAGAAGAAGAAGAAGAAAAGAAAGTTGGGCTGGGCGAGATCTTCACCCCGTAGTCCCAGCAGTTTGGGAGGCCGAGGTGGGAGGAGTTCTGGGCTTGAGCTCAGGAGTTCAAGACCAGCCTGGGCAACATGGTGTGACCGCATCTCTACAAAAAAAATTTTTTTTAAATCAAGCTGGGCATGGTGGCTCATGCCTGTAATCCCAACGCTTTGGGAGGCCAAGGTGGGTGGATTGCTTGAGCCCAGGAGTTTGAGACCAGCCTGGCCAACATGGCAAAACCCTATCTCTACCAAAAGAAACCACAAAAATTAGCTGAGCATGGTGGAGCATGTCTATGGTCCCAGCTGCTTGGGAGGCTGAGGTGGGAGGATCACTTAAGCCTGGGAGGTCGAGGCTGCACTGAGCTATGTCCATGTCACTGCCCTCCAGCCTGGGTGACGGAACAAGAACCTGTCTCAAAAGGGGGAAAAAAAGGAAGTTGCTTATAATGCATTTCCTCAAAGGAGCAATTATAAAAATTCATAAATCTGTGTGAGATGGAGGGTTACTTTTATTTATTAATGAAAATGGCCTGTAATCCCAGCACTTTGGGAGGCCGAAGCACGCGGACTACCTGAGGTCTGGAGTTCAAGACCAGCATGGCCAACATGGCAAAACTCTGTCTCTACTAAAAATCCAAAAAAAATTAGCCGGGCGTGGTGGCAGGTCCCTATAATTCCAGCTACTCGGGAGGCTGATGCAGGAAAATCGCTTGAACCCCAGAGGCAGAAATTGCAGTGAGCCAAGATCGTGCCATTGCAAGAGCGAAACTCCGTCTCAAAAAAATAAAAAAAGAAAATGGATCCTGTATTATTTTTTGCTTTATAAAACAGATTTACTGAAATATAATTGACTCCCTTTACAACTATACAATTCATCCCTTTAAAGTGTACAGTTCAGTGACTTCTAGTGGATTCACAGAGTTGTGCATCATCCATCACCATAGTCAATTTTAGAACTTCCATTATCCCAGGAAGAAACCTGGAGACCCTTAGCCATCACCCTGCAACCCTCACCATTCTCTCTATTTCTAGGCAACCACTAATCTACTTTCTGTTTCTATAAATTTCCCTATTCTGGACATTTCATAAAAATAGAATCTTATAATATTTGGTCCTTTTTCATTTAACGTACTGTTTTCAAGGATCATTTATATTACAGTTTGTATCAGTACTTCATTTCTTTTTATTACTAAATAATATTCCACTGTATGGATAGATCACATTTTAATCATTTCTACTTGCTTTTTACATTGAACTATATATTTTGAACATTTTTCCATGGCATGTATATATAAATGGGCCTCATTCTTTTATTTTGAGTCAAGGTCTTGCTATGTCATCCAAGCTGGAATGCAGTGGTCTGAGCCAATAGCTTACAGCAGCCTCAACCTCCAGGTCTCAAGTGATCCTGCAGCCACAGCCTCCCAAGTAGCTGAGACTACTGGAAAGAGCCACCATGCCTGGCTATTTTATTTATTTATGTTTTGTAGAAACAAGGTATCAATCATGTTGCCCAAGTTTTTGGGGTTTGTTTTTTTTTTTTTTTTTGAGACAGGCTGTCACTCTGTCACCCAGGCTGGAGTGCAGTGGTGTAATCTCAGCTCACTACAGCCTCTGCCTCCCGGGTTCAAGCAATTCTCATGCCTCAGCCTCCCAGTAGCCGGGATTGCAGGTGTGTTCCACCACACCCACCTAATTTTTTTTTTTTTTTTTTGAGACAGAGCCTCACTCTGTTACCCGGGTTGGAGTGCAGTGGTGCAATATCGGCTCACTGCAACCTCTGCCTCCAGGCTTCAAGTGATTCTCCTGCCTCAGCCTCCTGAGTATCTGGGACTACAGGCATGTGCCACCACGCCCAGCTAATTTTTTTGTATTTTTAGTAGAGATGAGGTTTCACCATGTTGACCAGACTGGTCTTGAACTCCTGACCTCAGGTGACCTGCCTGCCTTGGCCTCCCAAAGTGCTGAGATTACGGGCATGAGCCACCACACCCAGCCCTAATTTTTATATTTTTAGTAGAGATGGGGTTTTGCCATGTTGGCCAGGAATTCTTTTTTAAAGTTATGTATGGCCGGGCACGGTGGCTCACGCCTATAATCCCATCATTTTGGGAGTTCGAGGCAGGTGGATTGCTTCAGGTCAGGAGTTCGAAACCAGCCTGACCAACATGGTGAAACCTTGTCTTTACTAAAACTACAAAAATTAGCTGGGCGTGGTGGAGGGCGCCTGTAATCCCAGCTACTTGGGAGGCTGAGGCAGGAGAATCGCTTGAACCTGGGAGGCAGAGATTACGCCACTGCACTCCAGCCTGGGCAACAAAGTGAGACTTCAAAAAAAAATAAAGAATGAATAAAGTTACATACTATAATTGCTTCTCAGCCTTTTGGCTAAGATCAGGTGTAAAGTTACATACTATTCTATTGTTTAAATACATAATTTTTTAAACCCAGTATCTTATTAGGTATTTTGGTTATTTCCAGGTTCTACCCAATTAACAAGTCTGTAGTAAATATCCTTATGAATATGTCTCCCTAAGAGTGTATTTCTTTAGGATACATTGTCTGGAAGCTGTATTATGTATCAAGGGATTTGTGTATTTTTAATAGGTATTGCAAATTTGCCCTCAAATAGTTGTACCAATGTATATACCTACAAACTTAGTATGAGAATACTTGTTTCCTCAATATTGGGTATTTTCTTTTTTTTTTTTTTTTTTGAGATGGAGTTTCACTCTTGTCACTCAGGCTAGAGTGCAATGGCACGATCTTGGCTCATTGCAACCTCCATCTGCTGGGTTGAACTGATCCTCCTGCCTCAGCCTCCCAAGTAACTGGGATTACAGGTGCCCAACACCATGCCCAGCTATTTTTTTTATTTTTAGTAGAGACGGGTTTCACCATGTTGGCCAGGCTGGTCTCGAACTCCTGACCTCAGGTGATCCGCCTGCCTCAGCCTCCCAAAGTGCTGGGATTATAGGCGTGAGCCACTACGCCCGGCCAATATTGGATATTTTCATCTGTTTAATCTTTGCCACTCTTCTAGGTGCCACTCTTCCCAGTCTTTGGCCCAATAGACTCCGTTCAAATGTTGGCTTTACCATTTGCTATCTATTTAGTTAACTTCTTTGTGTCTCAGGTTCCTCACCTATAAAATAGGGATGATGATTTTTTTTTAAACTATTATATGGCTTTCTGTTTGATAGTTGTCAAACAGAAGTTTTTAAAATTTTTATGTGATCAGATTTACATTATCTGGCTAATTTCATGGTTTCTTGTGGTTCACATTTAAATTTTATTTCATCTGAGCCAGGCACAGTGGCTCACACCTGTAATCCCAGCACTTTGGGAGCCCAAGACAGGAGGAATGATTGATCCCAGGAGTTCAAGACAGCCTGGGCAACATGGCAAAGCCCCATCTCTACAAAAAAAAAATGTTTTTTTTTAATTAGCTGGGCATAGTGGTGCGTACCTGTGGTCCTCGCTACTCGGGAGGCTGAGGTGGGAGAATCATTAGAACCCAGGAGGATAACTAGAACCCAGGAGTTTGAGGCTGCAGTGAGTTGAGATCGTGCCACTGCGCTCCAGCCTGGGCAACAGAGCAAGACTCTGTCTCAAAAAAATAATAAAAATAAATAATTTTTTTCCCATCAGGAACTTACATTAATATAAAAATAATGACAGAGTTCAGCTTAGTTTTTTTTCCCCAGATATGTTTATAACAGGGAATCTGCAGTTTGGGGTTGGGACAATCTTAGTTTCTTAGGGTTTTCTTCTACTCTAGTTCTTCTTGTATATTTCAGTGTGCTAATTCTGCTGTCATTGCAAAAGTGTCCTGGGTCTTTTTAAAACTCTGAGCAGGGATATAATTCAGAGATAATTTCGTTACAAGTTCTGTTCTTAATGTGAATTTTTTTCCCTGGCAGGTATCCCATGTATAACCGATTGTGTAATGGCTGAAATTGAGAAATTGGGGCAGAAGTATCGAGTGGCTCTAAGGTAGGAAGGAGGTAAACTAGATCTGTTCTAGATTGGTATACTGAAGATTCATCTGTTTGTTGTTTAAAGATTTCTTGGCCAGTTAGTTGTGAAAATCATACAAAACTATTTATCATTTTTGGGGGGGTTGTTTTGGTCTTTCTCTCACACAAAAATCAGTTCCAGTTAGAGTGTCTAAACTTTTAATAGAAAATACAGAGAATATCTTGTCCGGGCTCGGTGGCCTGTAATCCCAGCACTTTGGGAGGCCGAGGCAGGCAGATCACCTGAGGTCAGGAGTCCGAGACCAGCCTGACCAACATGGAGAAACCCTATCTCTTCTAAAAATACAAAATTAGCCGGCTGTGGTGGCAGGTGCCTGTAATCCCAGCTACTTGGGAGGCTTAAGCAGGAGAATCGCTTGAACCTAGGAGGCGGAGGTTGCAGTGAGCCTACATCACGCCATTGCACTCCAGCCTGGGCAACAAGAGCAAAACTCTGTCTCAAAAAAAAAAAAAAAGAGAAAATACAGAGAATATCTTAATGAAATTGAATATTTGTGTATAGCAAAAGATATCATTAACAAAGTAAACAGACATACATAATCAACAAAGGGCTTATTTTCAAAATGCATAAAGAACTTCACATCTGTAAGAAAAACATAATTCTTAAATTCACAGTGAGTTGTCATTTAGTGCCCATTAGATTGGCAAAAATTTTTTAATGAGCTTGACAATGCCAAGAATAGTTAAGACCATGAAGCAATGGGAATTCTCATACTGAACTACTAAGGGTATAAATTGGTCATCACTTTGGAGGGCAACTTGACAATATCTGGTAAAATCCAGGTTGTTCATACTCTTACAACACAGTCTTTTAACCTGGAGATCACATTCTACAGGTAATTAAATTGGTTTAAAGGATCACAATGCCTGGTGGGTTTGGGGGGTTTTTTGTGTTTTGTTTTGTTCTGTTTTTGAAGCAAGGTGTTGCTCTGTCACCCAGGCTGGAGTGCAGTGGCACAATCAGGGCTCACTGCAGCCTCGACCTCCTGGGCTTAAGCAGTCCTCCTGCCTCAGCACCCTCAAGTAGCTGGGACTACAGGCATGCAACACCTCACATGGCCAGTTTTTTAAAATTTCAGTAGAGATGAGGTCTCACCATGTTGCCCAGGCTAGTCTTGAACTCCTGGGCTCAAGTGATCCTCCCACCTTGGCCTCTCAAAGTGCTGGGATTATAGGCATGAGCCACCACACCCAACCCCCGAGTATATTTTTTAGTGTAACAGAAGAAACTATAGGCTGGGCACGGTGGCTCATGCCTGTAATCCCAACACCTTGGGAGGCTGAGGCAAGTGGATTGTTTCAGCCTAGGATTTCCAGTCCAGCCTGGGCATCATGGTGAAACCCTGTCTCCACAAAAAGTAAAAAAATTAACCAGGTGTGGTGGCATACACCTGTAGTCTCAGCTATTCGGGAGGCTGAGGTGGGAAGATTGCTTGAGCCCAGGAGGCAGAGGTAGCAGTGAGCTGAGATGGTGCCACTGCACTTTAGCCTGGGTGATAGAGTGAGACTCTGTCTCAAAAAAAAAAGAAAGAAATTATAAAATATTAGCATGAATATGTAGAAAAAATTGGGTACTGCTTCACAAAACTTTTTTCGCTGTTATATGTGTGTATATGTATATGTGGTATATGTGTGCATACTGTACGCTAGATAAAATCTATCTCGTGCTATGGGTTCTGGTAAAAAAAAAAAGAAAGAAAAAGATTGCTATAGAGAAGTTCAGCTACTATTGGAGTCAAGTATTGGCATCTTCTTATGTACGTAATAGCAAAAAATTGCAGACAGCCAGAAGAAATGGCTTTTCTTAAGCCATAAAGGATGGCCAGGCATGGTGGCTCATGCCTGTAATCCCAGAACTTTGGGAGGCCGAGGCAGGCAGATCATTTGAGGTCAGGAGTGATCCTCAACATGGTGAAACCCTGTCTCTACTAAAATATGAAAATTAGCCAGGCATGGTGGCGGGTGCCCATATTCCCAGCTACTCTGGAGGCTGAGGCAGGAGAATCATTTGAGCCCAGGAGGCGGAGGTTTCAGTGAGCTGAGGTCATGCCACTGTACTCCAGCCTGGGCTACAAAGCAAGACCCTGTCTCCAAAAAAAAAAAAAAAAAAAAAAAAAAAAACTGGGTACAGAAGCTCACGTATAATTCCCAACACTTCGTGAGGCCAAGTGGGGAGGATCGCTGGAGCCCAGGAGTTTGAGACCAGCCTGGCCAACATAATGAGACCCTGGCTCTACAAAACTTTAAAAATTTGCCGGGCGGCCAGCCAGGCGCAGTGGCTCACGCCTGTAATCCCAGCACTTTGGGAGGCCGAGGCGGGTGGATCACGAGGTCAGGAGATCGAGACCATCCTGGCTAACACGGTGAAACCCTGTCTCTACTAAAAATACAAAAAAATTAGCCAAGCGTGGTAGTGGGCGCCTGGTAGTCCCAGCTGCTGGGGAGGCTGAGGCAGGAGAATAGCATGAACCCGGGAGGCGGAGCTTGCAGTGAGCCGAGATCGCGCCACTGCACTCCAGCCTGGGTGACAGAGCGAGACTCCATCTCAAAAAAAAAAAAAAGAAAATTAGCCAGGCATGGTGGCTTGTGCCTCTACGGAGTTCAAGGTTGCAGTGAGCTATGATCACACCACTCCACTCCAGCCCCAAAAACAAAGTGAGACCTTGTCTCTTTAAAAAAGAAAGAAAAGAATAGATAAGCTGTGGAATGCTCATGAATAAAATACTATACAAGAGTGAAGATGAGTGAACTAGAGTTATGCGCCAATGTGGATAAATCTCAAAAACAATATAAACTATAAAAAAAAAACAACAGCAGTCAGGCACTGTGGCTCACTCCTGTAATCCCAGCAGTATTGGGAGCCCGAAGCAGGAGGATTCCTTGAGCCCAGGAGTTTGAGACCAGCCTGGGCAACATAGTGAGACCCAATGTCTATGAAACATTTTAAAATTAGCCAGGCATGGTGGCATGTACTTGTATTCCCAGCTACTTGGGAGGCTGAGGTAGGAGGATTGCTTGAGCCAGGGAGGTTCGAGATCATACCACTGCATTCTAGCCTGGGAGACAGCGAGACCCTGTCTCAAAAAAAAAGAAAAAGAACAATGCTGAGCACTGTTAACGCACATCTGTAGTTCCAGTTACTTGGGAGGCTGAGGCAGAAGGATCACCTGAGCCTAGGAGTTTCAAGCCAGCCTGGACAACAAGACCCCCATCTCTTTTTTTTTTTTTTTATTATACTTTAAGTTTTAGGGTACATGTGCACAATGTGCAGGTTAGTTACATATGTATACATGTGCCATGCTGGTGCGCTGCACCCACTAACTCGTCATCTAGCATTAGGTATATCTCGCAATGCTATCCCTCCCTCCTCCCCCCACCCCACAACAGGCCCCAGAGTGTGATGTTCCCCTTCCTGTGTCCATGTGTTCTCATTGTTCAGTTCCCACCTATGAGTGAGAATATGCGGTGTTTGGTTTTTTGTTCTTGTGATAGTTTACTGAGAATGATGATTTCCAATTTCATCCATGTCCCTACAAAGGACGTGAACTCATCATTTTTTATGGCTGCATAGTATTCCATGGTGTATATGTGCCACATTTTCTTAATCCAGTCTATCATTGTTGGACATTTGGGTTGGTTCCAAGTCTTTACTATTGTGAATAATGCCACAATAAACATACATGTGCATGTGCCTTTATAGCAGCATGATTTATAGTCCTTTGGGTATATATCCAGTAATGGGATGGCTGGGTCAAATGGTATTTCTAGTTCTAGATCCCTGAGGAATCACCACACTGACTTCCACAATGGTTGAACTAGTTTACAGTCCTGCCAACAGTGTAAAAGTGTTCCTATTTCTCCACATCCTCTCCAGCACCTGTTGTTTCCTGACTTTTTAATGATTGCCATTCTAACTGGTGTGAGATGGTATCTCATTGTGGTTTTGATTTGCATTTCTCTGATGGCCAGTGATGGTGAGCATTTTTTCATGTGTTTTTTGGCTGCATAAATGTCTTCTTTTGAGTAGTGTCTGTTCATGTCCTTCGCCCACTTTTTGATGGGGTTGTTTGTTTTTTTCTTGTAAATTTGTTTGAGTTCATTGTAGATTCTGAATATTAGCCCTTTGTCAGATGAGTAGGTTGCGAAAATTTTCTCCCATTTTGTAGGTTGCCTGTTCACTCTGATGGTAGTTTCTTTTGCTGTGCAGAAGCTCTTGAGTTTAATTAGATCCCATTTGTCAATTTTGGCTTTTGTTGCCATTGCTTTTGGTGTTTTAGACATGAAGTCCTTGCCCATGCCTATGTCCTGAATGGTAAAGCCTAGGTTTTCTTTTAGGGTTTTTATGGTTTTAGGTCTAACGTTTAAGTCTTTAATCCATCTTGAATTGATTTTTGTATAAAGTGTAAGAAAGGGATCCAGTTTCAGCTTTCTACATATGGCTAGCCAGTTTTCCCAGCACCATTTATTAAATAGGGAATCCTTTCCCCATTGCTTTTCTCAGGTTTGTCAAAGATCAGATAGTTGTAGATATGCGGCGTTATTTCTGAGGGCTCTGTTCCGTTTCATTGATCTATATTTCTGTTTTGGTACCAGTACCATGCTGTTTTGGTTACTGTAGCCTTGTAGTATAGTTTGAAGTCAGGTAGTGTGATGCCTCCAGCTTTGTTCTTTTGGCTTAGGATTGACTTGGCGATGTGGGCTCTTTTTTGGCTCCATATGAACTTTAAAGTAGTTTTTTCCAATTATGTGAAGAAAGTCATTGGTAGCTTGATGGGGATGGTATTGAATCTATAAATTACCTTGGGCAGTATGGCCATTTTCACGATATTGATTCTTCCTATCCATGAGCATGGAATGTTCTTCCATTTGTTTGTGTCCTCTTTTATTTCATTGAGCAGTGGTTTGTAATTCTCCTTGAAGAGGTCCTTCACATCCCTTGTAAGTTGGATTCCTAGGTATTTTATTCTCTTTGAAGCAATTGTGAATGGGAGTTCACTCATGATTTGGCTCTCTGTTTGTCTGTTGTTGGTGTATAAGAATGCTTGTGATTTTTTACATTGATTTTGTATCCTGAGACTTTGCTGAAGTTGCTTATCAGCTTAAGGAGATTTTGGGCTGAGACAATGGGGTTTTCTAGATATACAATCATGTCGTCTGCAAACGGACAATTTGACTTCCTCTTTTCCTAATTGAATACCCTTTATTTCCTTCTCCTGCCTAATTGCCCTGGCCAGAACTTCCAACACTATGTTGAATAGGAGTGGTGAGAGAGGGCATCCCTGTCTTGTGCCAGTTTTCAAAGGGAATGCTGCCAGTTTTTGCCCATTCAGTATGATATTGGCTATGGGTTTGTCATAGATAGCTCTTATTATTTTGAAATACGTCCCATCAATACCTAATTTATTGAGAGTTTTTAGCATGAAGCGATGTTGACTTTTGCCAAAGGCCTTTTCTGCATCTATTGAGATAATCATGTGGTTTTTGTCTTTGGTTCTGTTTATATGCTGGATTACATTTATTGATTTGCATATATTGAACCAGCCTTGCATCCCAGGGATGAAGCCCACTTGATCATGGTGGATAAGCTTTTTGATGTGCTGCTGGATTTGATTTTCCCGTATTTTATTGAGGATTTTTGCATCAGTGTTCATCAAGGATATTGGTCTAAAATTCTCTTTTTTGGTTGTGTCTCTGCCCGGCTTTGGTATCAGGATGATGCTGGCCTCATAAAATGAGTTAGGGAGTATTCCCTCTTTTTCTGTTGATTGGAATAGTTTCAGAAGGAATGGTACCAGTTCCTCCTTGTACCTGTGGTAGAATTCGGCTGTGAATCCATCTGGTCCTGGACTCTTTTTGGTTGGTAAGCTATTGATTATTGCCACAATTTCAGCTCCTGTTATTGGTCTATTCAGAGATTCAACTTCTTCCTGGTTTAGTCTTGGGAGAGTGTATGTGTCGAGGAATTTATCCATTTCTTCTAGATTTTCTAGTTTATTTGCGTAGAGGTGTTTGTAGTATTCTCTGATGGTAGTTTGTATTTCTGTGGGATCGGTGATGATATCCCCTTTATCATTTTTTATTGCGTCTATTTGATTCTTCTGTCTTTTTTTCTTTATTAGTCTTGGTAGCGGTTTATCAGTTTTGTTGATCGTTTCAAAAAACCAGCTCCTGGATTCATTAATTTTTTGAAGGGTTTTTTGTGTCTCTATTTCCTTCAGTCCTGCTCTGATTTTAGTTATTTCTTGACTTCTGCTAGCTTTTGAATGCGTTTGCTCTTGTTTTTCTAGTTCTTTTAATTGTGATGTTAGGGTGTCAATTTTCGATCTTTCCTGCTTTCTCTTGTGGGCATTTAGTGCTATAAATTTCCCTCTACACACTGCTTTGAATGCGTCCCAGAGATTCTGGTATGTTGTGTCTTTGTTCTCGTTGGTTTCAAAGAACATATTTATTTCTGCCTTCATTTCGTTATGTACCCAGTAGTCATTCAGGAGCAGGTTGTTCAGTTTCCATGTAGTTGTGCGGTTTTGAGTGAGATTCTTAATCCTGAGTTCTAGTTTGATTGCACTGTGGTCTGAGAGACAGTTTGTTATAATTTCTGTTCTTTTATATTTGCTGAGGAGAGCTTTACTTCCAAGTATGTGGTCAATTTTGGAATAGGTGTGGTGTGGTGCTGAAAAAAATGTATATTCTGTTGATTTGGGGTGGAGAGTTCTGTAGATGTCTATGAAAAAGCAAGAACATATGTGGAGTATACCATTTATCTAAAGTCTAAAAACATGCAAACCAATACTGCATTGTTTATAGATATGTGTATATGCTTTTTTTTTTTTTTTTTTTTTTTAAAGACAGATTCTCACTCTGTCGCCCAGGCTGGAGTGCAGTGATGCTATCACAGCTCACTGCAGCCTTGACCTCTCCGGCTCAAGTGATCCTCCTGCTTTGGCCTCCCAAGTAGCTGGGACTACAGGTGCATACCACTATGCATGTCTGATTATTTTTTTTCTTTTGCATGGCTAATTTTAAAAAAAAATTTTTTTGGTAGAGACTGGGCATGGTGGTTCACGTCTGTAATCCTGGCACTTAGGAAGGCTGTGGCGGGCAGATCACCTGAGGCTAGGAGTTCAAGACCAGTCTGACCAATGTGGTGAAACCTCATCTCTGCTAAAAATACAAAAATTAGCTGGGGGTGGTGGCAGGCACCTATAATCCCAGCTACTAGGGATGCTGAGGCAGGAGAATTGCTTGAGGCTGGGAGGCAGAGGCTGCAATGAGCCAAGATCATGCCACTGCATCCAGCCTAGGCAACAGAGCAAGACTCCATCTCAAAAAGGCTGGGTGCAGTGGCTAACGCCTGTAATCCTAGCACTTTGGGAGGCTGAGGTAGGCAGATCATCTGAGGTCGGGAGTTCTAGACCAGCCTGGCTAACATGGTGAAACCCCGTCTCTCCTAAAAATACAAAATTAGCTGGGCATGGTGGCGCATGCCTGTAATCCCAGCTACTCAGGAGGCTGAAGCAGGAGAATCGCTTGAACCCGGGAGCAGAGGTTGCAGTGAGCTGGGATTGTGCCAATGCACTCCAGTCTGGGTGACAGAATGAGACCCCATCTCCAAAAAAAAAAAAAATTTAGTAGAGATAGGGTCTCACTATGTTGCCCAGCTGGTCTCAAACTCCTGGCCTCAAGTGATCTTCCTGCTTTGGCCTCCTAAAGTGCTGGGATTGTAGTCATGATCCTCCACACCCAGCCTGGTAATTTTTAAAACAATAAAAATAAAGAATGAGAGGGGAAAAAATAGAGGCACCAAGTGGAAACACTAAGTTTGGCTGTCAAGAGATGCAGAAATGGGGTGTTAGCTGGAGGGGGGTATAGGTAAAAAGATTTTTTTGTCTTAAGGCAGAGAATATATGACAGCATGTTAGTATGTTTCTAGGAAAGAGCTAGTAGAGAGGAGACAAGTGATTTCAGGAGTAAAGAGATAACTGAAAGAGCATAGTCCTAGACTGTTGCCCACCTAGTTTGTCAGCAACCAGTCCATCCTCCCTCTAGTGTATCCTCCCCAGCACAGCCTGCTTAGTTTTTCCAAGACAGAGCTTTGTTCTTATCACTTTGTCCCCCAGAAATCTTTAATGACTCCTCATTACCTGTGTCATCACACTCGTCAGCCTGGCATTGGAGACTCTTTCTAGCCCCATTTCATTCTTCTCTCCACAAACACTCTGCCCCCAGCCAGAAAGATGTGTTTACTCTTCCCCAAATACCAAGAAACCATTTTACAGTTGGCTGGTGTCCTATTTGGTACCCTCACATTGCTTGGCACATTCTTTAATCTTATTTCACCCCATGTCATTTTTTTCTAAATATTCCCAACCCACATTGACCTAGCGCTGAACTACTGCAATATGGAGGAGTATTTGTGTTGCACTTGGTACATATGTGCTGTCTTGTATTTTTCTTCATTTCAGTGACTCATCATCACTGTTAATAGAAAGAGCATGGCTCTCAGAATCACACAGAGTTGGGGTTTTTCTTTTTCAAATATGTATGAAAATAATACATGTTTGAGTGTTTTATGGCAAACAATACAAGCATATACATATAGTAAAAGGTAAAAGTCTGCCTCTACATTCATACTTTGTCCATTCTCATACCCCAAGAGTGACAACTGACAAAGGTTAATATATTTTTTCAGACCTTTTTCTGTGCAAATGCAAATCTAAATAAAGAGTATTGGAAAGAAGGATTTGTATTTTATTAATTAAATCATATTATATATATATATATGCATATGCCCTGCTTTGTTTATTCAACAGTTTAGTGTAGGTCCTTCCACATTGGTACGTACAGCTCTACCTCACTTTTTATTAATAGGATAAGGGCACCAAAATGGGTTTAACTTTTACCTTTCTAAAGGATATTTTTATTTTCTTCACTTACTATAAACTGTGTTGAGTGATCATCCTTCTGCCTATATTCTTGTTCATTGTGTTTAAGACAACTTCTTAAAAGTGAAATGGTTAGGTTAAAATGGGTTTTGTTTTTGAATCCTGGCTTTTCCCAGCTGTATAGCTTTGAATGAAGTAATTTAATCTCTCTAAGCCTACTTCCTCATCTGTAGAATAGATATATAATAACTCAAAGTTTTGTAATGATTAAATGACCCAAAGCACACTAGCTGTCAGCCTTCATTCCCTGCCCCGTGAATTGTCTTTCCAGTTAGAGGATAAAGTTCAGGAGGAGAACAGTGCCTTAAAATCTCTGCATAGATCATGTTACTTTTATTGCATTAATTAAGACTCAGAAAGTTATCCAGCTGATTGAATGTTTTCTTTAATCCACCTACAGGATTGCCAAGGATCCAAGATTTGAACGATTACCATGTACACACAAAGGAACCTATGCAGATGACTGCTTAGTACAGAGAGTAACTCAGGTATTATCAGTTCATAACTGTTTACTTTGTGCTTAAAAAAAAAAAATGTAAACTATTATCTCCTGAATGTTCATGGTCAGTAAAACATCTAGGAATATACATTATGGTTAAATTAAAAAAAAATTGCATAGCATTCCTTCATAAGAAGCATAGGTGTCTTCATTTACTTGAGAAAGTGGATTGAAAATGTACACTCTAACCATAATGGAAAGAGCACAGGCTTGGGGAGGAGACATGGGTTTCACGTCTCAGCACCTGCATTTACTGGCTGTGTGATTTGGGACATTTAACTGATTCTTTATCTCACAAATCTCTGTAAAATGATTTTAAGTGAGTTAATGTAGAACCCATTTATTTTTGATGTAGGAATTTTGTTCCTCTTCACGATGCCTAATCCAAAAGTGCTTCTTAGTTAAATCTGAGAGTCTCCCAAGATGCTGTTTCACACATACCCTAGAATAAGTAGGTTTTTAATTCCTTCATTAAGCACCACAAGGACTTCTGCTACTGAGTGCTTTTATAAGGGCCTCTCTGCTGATGATAATCTTCATCTGCTCTGCTGACCACAGAGCCATCCTTTTAGCCACTTCACCCCATGGGGCGGGTGGGTGGGGCCAGTATTTCCCACAGCACAGCTGACACCACTCTGCCACTTTTTATAAAACTCAGTAGGAGAGTCAGACGTGACAGATGTGAAGCTTCCTATAAAATAGCTTTCACCTGACAGCTAAATATTACTGCTTTTATAACTGCTAGGCTCTAGTTTCAGGCCCTGAATATCCTACTTAGGCTTCCTGTTTCGGGGATAGCTTACCTCTAACATCAGTAGGCCCAGAGCACACCCAAGCCCCAAGATCTAGGGAAAGGAGGGAGCTATGGCCTCCAAATTAAGGCACTTTTTATCTCCATGGAGTTCCTCGGAGCATTTTCCCAAAACTAAAGAATTGTCTGCCCCAAGTGTGAAAGTCCCTTTCATTTATGAGCAGAAAACAGTTTGCAGCTTGTGAAAAGTTTTCTACCTTCTCCTCCTCAAGATTCTAAATGCTGCATTCAGCCCAGGCAACTTGTTTATTTTATATAACAAGATTAGGAGCTCCTAGATCATAGTAGGTACTCAACAAATTGTTATAGCCTGCCCTTCGCTACTTACTGTGAAAATGAACGATTCTCAGACTGGTCAGTCGTTGTGCCATTATCCAGTATTCACTAAGCGTGCTCAGTGACCTCAGTGTGAACATCACTCCATGTCTCTTACAGCATAAGTGTTACATTGTGGCCACAGTTGACCGGGACCTGAAAAGAAGAATCCGTAAGATTCCTGGAGTTCCTATCATGTACATTTCTAACCATAGGTGAGAAATTTCCCTTGGAGAAGGGAATAGAAATATATAATTGATATCAATTGAAAATGAGGATAAGTGATAAGGTTATAAAGGATTTGAAAGAAATTATTGTATCAAATGTTTACATAGTTATATTTGAAGAAATGAGACAAAGCAAGAGCAAGAGCAAAAGAGAGAGATAGGATTTAAGGAATGAGGCAAACATTTAAATTGTTAGAGTAAGATTACTGGAAGAAATAGACGTATTGTTTTAAATAAAAGCAGTAATTTAAATCAAGCTAATCTTTTTGGCCAGAAATACCTGTTTTGAAAGATTTTTTTTTATTAACACTTCATCTGAGAAATGGAAAGCTTATTTAAAAAAAAAAAAAGCTGTTATCCTTCTTGGCTATTTTTTGTCAGTACTCAGACTTATTTTCCAGCTTTTCAGCTTGAGGAGAGCACAATGTGGTGGGAAGTCTGTGGACTAAGAAGTTGGACTTACTGATCTCAGCTCCTCAGTTCCCCTCTTGCTGACTTTGTGACTTTGAAAAAACAATCATATTGTATTATAGTCAGCATTTTGCTGTAAATCATTCATTATGATGTTCCCCTAAATTGTTTCCACTGACAAAAAGGATTCACAGTGGGGGTGAGAGTATTGCAGTCTATAAAGGATGGGTTTTTAGATGGGTTCTCTTCCCATCTTTCTTACCGGTGTTGATTTTTTGTCCTGATCAGATACAACATTGAACGGATGCCAGATGATTATGGAGCCCCTCGATTCTAATTCTTACAAGACACAGTTCCTCTGCCTTTCTTCGACCAACTTTCTCTTGTTGCCAGTTCATTACACAAAATGTAGCGGGATTTTTAAGGAATCAGAGAGACTGATGGAGTTCAGGGAGATATTTATTATTTAGGTGCACCAGCCCAGTCAGATTAACATCCAAAGGACTGAACCCTGAACAGAGTTAAGTTACCTTTTAAGCATTTTGTGGGGCCGCGGGGGTTGGGGGGAATCTGTGCAGGGGGAAGCATATTACAGAAGCAAGAAAGACAGTTATTCAATTAACTGAGACATGCATTACATCATTTCTTACTTTTCAAGGAAAATCATGTTTTACGACTTGAGTTTATCTGTCTAGTTACCTTGCAGCTGCACAGCTAGAGAAACAGGGTATTTACAATGCCTGGGAAAGGAGGAGAGATAAGGCTCACTAGCCACAGAAAAACAGGCAGTTAATTTTTAAAGGACTCCAGCTCTTTCTCTTTCTCACGGGGAATTGGATTTTCTTACATGCAACTGAATTTCTGCTTACACATTTTTAAATTTCTTTTAATTGCTTTTCCAATGCAATAGCATGAATTATTATTCTGTTGACCTATTTGCCTTACTATGAGCTGAGGGTAGTTCAATATGCTCACTCTTTTTTTTTTTTTTCTTGAGATGAAGTTTTGCTCTGTCACCAGGCTGGAGTGCAGTGGCGTGATCTGGGCTCACTGCAACCCCTGCCTCCCATCCTTCAAGTGATTCTCCTGCCTCAGCCTCCCGAGTAGCTGGGATTACAGGTACACACCACCATGCTCAACTAATTTTTCTTTTTTGGGCGGGGGGGGTGGATATTTTTAGTAGAGACAAATACTTTTGTATTTTTAATACAGAAAAGTATGCCTCGGCCTCCCAAAGTGCTGGAATTACAGACATGAGCCACTGTGCCTGGCCTGCTCACTTTCTGATGCTGCTTTTTTGTTGTTTGTTTGTTTATTTGTTTGTTTTGAGACGGAGTCTCGCTCTGTCACCAGGCTGGAGTGCAGTGGCGCAATCTCGGCTCATTGCAACCTCCGCCTCCCAGGTTCAAGCGATTCTCCTGCCTCAGCCTGCGGAGTAGCTGGGACTATAGGTGCGTGCCACCACGTCCAGCCACTGATGCTGTTTTGCCACTGATGCTGTTTTGAAATTGATATTTTGTCTCATAAAAACTAGGCCAGGCATGGTGGCTCATTCCTGTAATCCCAGCACTTTGGGAGGCCAAGGTGGGTGGATCACCTGAGGTCAGGAGTTGGAGATGAGCCTGGACAACATGGCAAAACCCCACCTCTACTAAAAATACAAAAAAAATTAGCTGGGTATGGTGTCACGTGCCTGTAATCCCAGCCACTGGGGAGGCTGAGGCAGGAGAACCTCTTGAACCCAGGAGGTGGAGGTTGCAGTGAGCTGAGATTGCGCCACTGCATTCCAGCCTGGGTGACAGAGTGAGACTGTCTCAAAAAAAAAAAAAAATTAATGATGGTCAAAGGGTATAAAATCTCAGACAGGAAGAATATGTTTTATGCTTTTTTTGAGTTCTGTTGTACAGTGTGGTGCCTATACTTAATAATGGGGTATTATACATTTCAAAATTGATGTTCTCATCACAGAAATGTATTTGAAGTATTGCATATGTTAACTAGCTTGATTTAACTATTCCATATTGTATCCACAATTTATGATATCACTTTGTAACCCATACATTTATACAATTATAAATTGTCAATTTACAATAAAAAATTTTTGTTGCGTCTTTTTAGAAATCAGATATTCTGATGATTGCTCACATAATTTGGCGGTCATTGTTTTATACTGACTTACTCAATAAACATTTATTAAATGTATACTAGGTGCTTAATAAGAGATGGTCCTGCCCTCAAGACACTCATTATGGTGGGAAAGAAAAACATGTAAATGAATAAATGCCGTAAAATAGCAGTGCTAGGGTAAAAGTTTCAGAGGCATGTCATGGGCACATAAAGGTGGAATGATTTTTTTCTACTGGTTGGGATGGAGAGGGAGGAAAGGCCAGTGGTCATGTGGTTTGAGCTAATCTTAAAAATGAATAGGTGCCTCCCCAGTAAATTAGGAATGGAAGATGAAGCATAGGAAACAGTACACCATAGAAAATCCATTAACCTATGTATAATCCCAGCACTTTGGGAGACTGAGGTGGGCAGATCACTTGAGGTCAGGAGTTTGAAACCAGCCTGGCCAACATGGTGAAACCCCACCTCTACTAAAAATTCCAAAATTAACTGGGCGTGGTGGTGCAAGCCTGTAGTCCCAGCTACTTGGGAGGCTGAGGCAGGAGAATCGCTTGAACCCGGGAGGCAGAGGTTGCAACGAGCCGAGATCACGCCACTGCACTCCAGCCTGGGCGACAGAGTGAAACTCTGTCTCAAAAACAAACAAACAAAAAACCTATGTATTTGTGGGGATTTGGTATATTATTAAGGTGGTATTTCGTTTCTGTGGGAAAAGGAAATTTCATTAACAGGCCAAATAGTCTGGAGTCATTCTGTTAGTGTTAGAATACTAATTCCACCAGTTAATATCTGTATGAGTTGGACAAACCATATAACCATCTGTTGCCTTCCTTGTTTCCTCTTTAAAGTGTTTAATCCGCAAAACAAACCTGATAAAGTGAGATTAAATTGAATAGTACCTGGCCCAAGTAAGTGTTCTTCAGTAAATGTTAGTGATTATTACACAATGGCAAGGTGGCTATCCATTTGAAAAAAAATTAGGCCGGGCGTGGTGGCTCACACCTGTAATCCCAACACTTTGGGAGGCCAAGGTGGGCGGATCACCTGAGGTCAGGAGCCCAAGACCAGCCTGACCAACATGGAGAAACCCCATCTCTACTAAAAATACAAAAAAACAATTAGGCAGGCATGGTGGCAAATGCCTGTATTCCCAGCTACTCTGGAGGCTGAGGCAGGAGAACGCTTGAACCTGGGAGATGGAGGTTGTGATGAGCCGAGATCATGCCATTGCACTCATTCCAGCCTGGGCAACAAGAGTGAAACTCTGTCTCAAAAAAAAAAAAAAAAAAAGAGAGAGAGAAAAAAATTAGTTTCCTACTTCACATGATTCATAAAAATATTTCAAGTGGATCAAAGACCTAAATTTTTTTTTTTTTTGAGACAGTTTCTCACTCTGTCACCCAGGCTGCAGTGCGTTGGCACAATCATGACTCACTGCAGCCTTGACCTTCCCAGGCCCTGATGATCCACCCCAGCCTCTCAAGTAGCTGGGATTTTTGTATTTCTTACAGAGATGGGATTTTGCCTTATTGCCCACCTTGGCCTTCTAAAGTATTGGGATTATGGGCATGAGCCACTGCACCCACCCTAAACTTATTTCTAAGCTATGGAAGCATTAGGAAAATAAATGTAAAGAAAAACGTGTTTATCACCTTTGGATAGAATTCTTAAGCAGAATCTAAAAAGATTGAAGAGTTTGAATATATTAAAATTATAGATTTCTGTGCAAGACACTCCCCTCCCCTAAAAAACAAGTGACTGATGAGATTTTCCAATACATGTAACAAGGGTTTAGAGAAATGAGTACTGATGTCATGCTGACAGAAGTGCAAATATTTATGGCCATTTTTTACAGCTGTTGACAAGATCCACTAAAATAAAAATTGCAGATATCCTGTGAGCCCAATTCTATTTTTTTGGTAACTTTATAGTATCATACAGGTGATTCACTTTAAAATACCTCTGCATGGACAACGTGATATGTATGCGAAGAAACATTCACATGTGTACAAGGAAGCAGGTAGAAGGATGTTTACTGCACTGCTGCTTATAAAAGAGAAAAAACAAACTAAATGTCCATCAAAAGGATCTTAACTGTGGCCGGGCATGGTGACTCACACCTGTAATCCTAGCACTTTGGAAGGCTGAGGTGGGTGGATTGCCTGACCTCAGGAGTTCAAGACCACCCTGGGCAACATGGCGAAAACCTGTCTCTACTAAAATAAAAAAATTAGCTGAGTGTGGTGGTGCGCACCTGTAGTCCCAGCTACTCAGGAGGCTGAGGCACAAGAATTGCTTGAACCCAGGAGACAGAGGTTGCGGTGAGCTGAGATCACGCCACTGCACTCCAGCCTGGCGACAGAGCGCGACTCCGTCTCAAAAAAAAAAAAAAAAAAAAAGCGGTGGGGGGTCTTAACTATGGAATGTCATGAACATCTATCTACAAAAAATGAGGTAGGTTTAAAATGGGCAAAGGACTTAAACATTTCTCCAAAGAAGATATACACGTGGCCAAGAAACATGCAAAAAGATGGTCAATATCACTAATCATTAGGGAAATGCAAATTAAAACCACAATGATATACTACCTCACACCCCTTAGCCACTATTAAAAGAAAGAAGCAATAGTTATTAAAAAGTATTTGTGAGGATATGTAGAAATTGTAACCCTTAGCTGTGCACTGCACATGCCCATAGTTCCAGCTACTCTGAAGGCTGAGGTGAGAGGCCTGAGCCCAGGAATTCGAGGCTGCAGTGAGCTATGATTGCGCCATTGGACTCCAGCCTGGGCAACAGAGCAAGACACCGTCTCTAAAAGAAGCAAATCAGAACCCTTGTGCGCTGTTCCTGGAAATGTAAAATGGTATAGCCACAAAGAATATGGCAGTTCCTCAAAAAGTTAAAAATGAAATTATCACATGATTCCAGCAATTCCACTTCTTGACATGTATTCAAAAGAATCAAAGATCTTAGAGTATTTGCCCACCCATATTCATCACGGCATTATTTACAATAGCCAAGAGGTGGAAGCAACCCAAGTGTCCATCAGCAGACGAATAGATCAACAAAATGTGCTCTCTACATACAACAGAATATGAGTCACCCTTACAAAGGAAAGAAATTCTGACACATGCTGTAACATCGATGAACCTTGAAGCCATTGTGCTAAGTGAAATAAGCCAGTCACAAAAAGACAAATACTGTGTGATTCCGCTTATATGAGGTATCTAGAGTAGTCAAATTCACAGAGATGGAAAGTAGTGTAGTGGTTGCCAGTGGCTGTGGGGATTGGGGAATAGACAGTTTAATGGGTATGGAGTTTCAGTTTTGCAAGATGAAGAGTTCTGGAGATTGGTTGTACGACAGTATGAATGTACTAAAGCCACTGAACTGTATGCTTTAAAATGGTTAAGATGGCCGGGCAGGGTGGCTCATGCCTGCAATCCCAGCACTTTGGGAGGCCGGGGCAGGTGGATCACCTGAGGTCAGGAGTTCAAGACCAGCCTGGTCAACATGGCAAAACCCGGTATCTACTAAAAATACAAAAAAAATAGCTGGGTGTGGCAGCACGCACCTATAATCCCAGCTACTCAGGAGGCTGAGGCAGGAGAATCACTTGAACTTGGGAGGCGGAGGTTGCAGTGAGCCGAGACTGTGCTCCAGCCTGGGTGACAGAGAAGAACTCTGTCTCAAAATAAATAAAATAAAATAAAATGGTTAAGATGGTAAATTTTCTGTTATGTGTCTTTTACCGTAATTAATATAAATGAGATTGAGCTATATCACTTAAATGGAAATAACTATGACCTATTATTAAGAGAAACTAAATTATAGAACAGGTACAGTGTGATATTGGTTTTAAGTTTTAATATCACAAATATTTAATTGTTTATTTAGAAATATACAGTATATATATAAATGGATAGAAAAAGTTCTGAAGATAAAGCTTTCTCTTCCGTCTCTTCACTGGTACAGAATTCCTTAAATAAATTAATGTCAGGCTGGACGCAGTGGCTCATGCCTGTAATCCCAGCACTTTGGGAGGCCGAGGCAGGTGAATCGCCTCAGCTCAAGAGTTCGAGACCACCCTGGGCAACATGGTGAAACCCCATCTCTACTAAAATACAATAAAGTAGCCAGGTGTGGTAGCACTCACCTGTAGTCCCAGCTACTCAGGAGGCTGAGGCATGAGAGTCGCTTGAGCCCAGGAGGAAGAGGTTGCAATGAGCTGAGATCACGCCACTGCACTCCAGCTTGGGCTACAGAGTGAGACTCTGTCTCAAAAGAAAAAAAAAAGTTATAGGACTGGATTGTGGCTCACTCCTCTTGCTGCCATAATATGAGTGGAATCATCCTGGATAGGCCAATTATAATATCCTTATTCCATTGCCATTGTGATTATTTCAAACCTGGATATCAAAGACAAGCCAATTAGTTGTAACCAGAGCTTTCACTGGAGAGTTACGCTCTTTTTCTATGGGAGAACTGTTAAAAGCTTTAAATACAAGCTTTAAAATTGAGAGACCATATTTACTAACACATTGGAAGTGCCTACCTGGGTTTTACTTTACATAGCCAAACCCAATCATAATTAATATCGAATGTATGTCTCCTAAACCAAGAGAGAAAACAGAAAGAAATTCAATTAATTAAAAAAAAAGCAGAATTTGTCAAAATGTATGGAACTGCACCATTGGTGAACTGTATGTTTCATTATGTGTAAATTTTTTAAAAAACTAAAAGGAAAAATAAATGTAGAAGAGGAGAGGGAAGAAGCAGCAACGGTAAATACAAAACAAAGTAAGATAAGGGCCGGGCATGGTGGCTCATGCCTGTAATCCCAGCACTTTGGGAGGCCGAGGCAGGCCGATCACAAGGTCAGGAGATCGAGACCATCCTGGCTAACATCCTGGCTAAAACCCCATCTCTACCAAAAAAATACAAAAAAGTGAGCTGGGCGTGGTGGCGGGTGCCTGTAGTCCCAGCTACTCAGAAGGCTGAGGCAGGAGAATGGCGTGAACCCGGGACGGGGAGCTTGCAGTGAGCCGAGATCGCACCACTGCACTCCAGTCTGGGTGACAGAGCGAAACTCCATCTCAAAAAAAAAAAAAAGTAAGATGGTGGGAATAAGACTAGACATGCAGTAGTCATGATGAATGTGACTGGGTTAAATAGCCTCATTAAAAGACAGATGCTCAGATTTGATTTTTTTTTTTTTAATCTTGTGGCTGTGTGTTATTTACAGACATAGCTAGAACAGAATGGCACAGGACAGCTGGAAATAAAGGGAAAAATAAATTTACCATACAACTCAACAATTCCACTCCTAGGTATCTACCCAAGAGAAGGAAAATACATGTCCATACAAAGACTTGGATACAAATGCTCATATTTTTTTTAAATTTCTTTTTTTTGAGACAGAGTCTCGCTCTGTCACCAGGCTGGAGTGCAGTGGTGCGTTCTCGGCTCACTGCAGCCTCTGCCTCCCAGGCTCAAGTGATTCTCCTGCTTCAGCCTCCTGAGAGCTGGGATTACAGGCACGTGCCACCACACCCGGCTAATTTTTTGTATTTTTAGTAGAGATGGGGTTTCACCATGTTAGCCAGGATGGTCTCGATCTCCGGACCTCGTGATCCACCTGCCTCGGCCTCCCAAAGTGCTGGGATTATAGGCATGAGCCACCGCACCCAGCTGCTCATATTATTTTTCTTCATAATAAAAAGTGGAAACAAACCAAGCAACCATAAACACAGTGGTCCCCAACGTTTTTGGCACCAGGGACTGTGGAAGACAGTTTTTCCACAGATGGCAGTGGGGCATGATTTCTGGATGATTCAAGCACATCACATTTATTGTGCACTTTATTATTATTACATTGTAATATATAATGAAATAATTATACAACTCACCATAATGTAGAATCAGTGGGAGCCCTGAGTTTGTTTTCCTGTAACTAGACAGTCCCATCTGGGGTTGATGGGAGACAGGGACAGATCATCAGGCATTAGCTTCTCATAAGGAGCACACAACCTAGATCCCTTACATGTGCAGTTCACATTAAGGTTCATACTCCTATGAGACTCTAACACCGCTGCTGATCTGACAGGAGCTCAGGCGGTAATGTGAGTGATGGGTAGTGGCCGTAAATACAGATGAAGCTTCACTTACCTGCCCGCCATTCATCTCCTGCTGTGTGGTCCAGTTCCTAACAGGCCATGGGCCACTAGTGATTCATGGCCCATGGGTTGGGCACCCCTGCATAACCAGATAAATGGATAAACAAAATGTGGTTCATTCACACAGTGGAATACTGTTCAGCAATGAAAGGTATAAACCACTGATAGAACAACATACATGAATCACAAAATCAAGTGAAGCAAAAGAAGCCAGATACAAAATATACAGATGGTGCCTGACTTAGGATGGTTTGACTTAGGATTTTTGACTTTACAATGGGTTTACTAGGGTATTACATGCATTTTCAGCTTACAATATTTCAATTTACACAAGATTTATTGGGGCTGGGCATGGTGGGTTCATGCCTGTAATCTGGCACTTTGGGAGGCCAAGGCAGGAGGATCACTTATGCCCAGGAGTTTGAGACTAGCCTGGGCAACATAGGGAGACCCCATCTCTATAAAAAATAAAATAAAAAGAAGGTTTATTGGGATGTAGCTCCAACATAAGTCAAGAAGCATCTACACACTGTATGATTCCATTTACATGAAACTCTAGAAAAGACAAATCTAATCTATAATGATAAAAAGTAAATCGTTATGGTATTAGGGGTGTCCATGAAAAAAAAGAAAAAGAAAAGAAGAAAGTAAACATTGTTCACCTGAGGTTGGAGGTAGGGTATTGGCTGGATACAGGCACAATGGAATTAGTGGGGAGGGGAATTCATTGTTTCTAAAAATTATCTATTTTGATTGTTGTGATGATTGCTTGATGTATTGATTCGTCAAATCAAAATGCACACAAAATGATGGCATTTTATTGTGTGTAAATTATGCTTCATTAATTAAAAGATGGAAAAGGACACGCAAAAGAAAAAATAGGCCAGGTACAGTGGCTCATTACTATAATCCCAACACTTTGGGAGGCTGAGTGGGCGGATCACTTGAGCCTCGGAGTTTCAGACCAGCCTGGGCAACATGGTGAAACTCTGTCTCTACAAAAAATTTAAAAATTTGCTGGGTGTGGTGGTGCAATTGTGTAGTCCCAGCTACTAGGGAGGCTGAGGCAGAAAGATCGCTTGAGCCAAGGAGGTCGAGGCTACAGTGAGCTGTGATCGCGCCACTAAACTCCAACCTGAACAACAGAGTGAGACCCTGTCTCAAAAAAAGAAGAAAAAAAAGAAAAAAGAAAAAATGGAAAAAGAATATGCTGTTTGAATATGCAAGATGGAAAATATTGAGGTTTTCTTTGTGGGCTAACACATGGAAAATGTCATGAAAGTACAATGTACACTTGAAAAGGAGGTGCACTCTCTGTTATGTAGGTTTAATATTTATCCATAAGATCTACCCAATTATTTCGGTCTTCTGTATGCTTATACTTTTTTTTTTTGAGACGGAGTTTCACTTTTTTTTTTTTTTTTTTTTTTTGAGACGGAGTCTCGCTCTGTGGCCCAGGCGGGAGTGCAGTGGCGCTATCTCGGCTCGCTGCAAGCTCCGCCTCCTGGGTTCACGCCATTCTCCTGCCTCAGCCTCCCGAGTAGCTGGGACTACAGGCGCCCGTCATCACGCCCGGCTAATTTTTTTGTGTTTTTAGTAGAGACGGGGTTTCACCGTGTTAGCCAGGATGGTCTCGATCTCCTGACCTCGTGATCTGCCCGCCTCAGCCTCCCAAAGTGCTGGGATTACAGGCGTGAGCCACCGCGCCCGGCCTTGAGACGGAGTTTCGCTCTTATTGCCCAGGCTGCAGTGCAATCGCGTGATTTTGGCTCACTGCAACCTGCGCCACCCAGGTTCAAGTGATTCTTCTGCTTCAGCCTCCCAAGTAGCTGGGATTACAGGCATGCACCACCATGCCCGGCTAATTTTGTGTTTTTAGTAGAGATGGTGTTTTGCCATGTTGGCGAAGCTGGTTTTGAACCCCTGACCTCAGGTGATCCACCCACCTCAGCCTCCCAAAGTGCTGGGATTACAGGTGTGAGCCACCCATGCCCAGCCTATGCTTATACTTTTTATTTTTGACTCTTTCAGAAGTCAAAAGCAGAAAAATACATTAGAGTGTCCTAAAACTCGTGCTTTTTTTTTTTTTTTTTTTTTTGAGGCAAAGTCTTGCCCTGTCACCCAGGCTGGAATGCAATGGCACAATCTCAGCTCACTGCAACCTCCGCCTCCTGGATTCAAGCGATTCTCCTGCCTTAGCCTCTCAAGTAGCTAGGATTACAGGCGTGCGCCACCATGCCTGGCTAATTTTTTGTATCTTTAGTGGAGACGGGGTTTCACCATGTTGACCAGGCTGGTCTCGAACTCCTGATCTCGTGATCTGCCCACAGCCTCCCAAAGTGCTGGGATTACAGGTGTGAGCCACCACACCCAGCTTTTTTTTTTTTTTTTAACTACTTAGTGTTTCCACTTCATGAAAGTCGCTACTGTATTGTTTTGTGCATGGATACTCATAACTGATATAGTTCTTCCTAATTGTAGCCTTTGGCATTGTGTTAGTCCGTTTTCATGCTGGTGATAAAGACGTATCAGAGAGTGGGTAATTTATAAACAAAAGGAGGTTTAATGGACTCACTGTTCCATATGGCTGGGGAGGCCTCACAATCATATGATGCAAAGTGAAAGGCATGTCTTACATGGTGGCAGAGGAGAGAATAAGAGCGAAGTGAAAAGGAAAACTCCTTATAAAACCATCAGATCTAATCCCAGCACTTTGGGAGGCTGAGGCGGGCAGATCACAAGGTCAGGAGATCAAGACCATCCTGGCTAACACAGTGAAACCCCGTCTCTACTAAAAATACAAAAAATTAGCTGGACGTGGTGGCAGGCGCCTGTAGTCCCAGCTTCTTGGGAGGCTGAGGCAGAAGAATGGCATGAACCTGGGAGGTGGAGCTTGCAGTGAGCCTAGATCGTGCCACCGCACTCCAGCCTGGGTGACAGAGCGAGACTCCATCTCAAAAAAAAAAAAAACCAAAAACCAAAAAACCATCAGATCTCGTGAGACTTATTCACTACCATGAGAACAGTATGGGGGAAATTGCCCTCATGATTTAATGAACTCTCACCGGGTCTCTCCCACAACACATGGGAATTATGGGAGCTAAACTCAGGATGAGATTTGGGTGGGGACACAGTCAAACCATATCAGGCATTATAATATATCCTTTTGCCTTATTTAATGATTTTTGGCCTAAATTCTACTTTTTCTGATGTTAAGAACAGGACTTAAATGCTTTCTTTTTCTACTTCTTTTTGTATTGCATTTACCTTATATATTTTGTCCATCTTTTGATTTTTACCTTTTCTAAATTCATTATCCCCAAAGTAGGGTGCTCCAGACTAGTCACTGCTGTGTGTCCTTTGTTTTCTTTTTCTATTCTTTTTTTTTTTTTTTTTTTTGAGACAGAGTCTCGCTTTGTCACCAGGCTAAATAAAGTGCAGTGGCGCGATCTCAGCTCACTGCATCCTTTGCCTCCCAGGTTCAAGGGATTCTCCTGCCTCAGCCTCCTGAGTAGCTGGGATTACAGGCACGCGTCAACACACCCAGCTAATTTTTATATTTTTAGTAGAGATGAGGTTTCACCATGTTGGCCAGGATGGTCTTGATATCCTGACCTCGTAATCCACCTGCCTTGGCTTCCCAAAGTATTGGGATTACAGGCGTGAGCCACTGCCCCTGACTGCTTTTTTTTTTTTTTTTTTTTTAAGAGAAATCTCCCTCTGTCACCCAGGCTGGAGTGCAGTGGGGTGATCTTGGCTCACTGCAGCCTCTGCCTCTTGGGTTCAAGCGATTCTCCTGCCTCAGCCTCTGGAGTAGCTGGGACTATAGGCATGCACCACCACACCTGGCTAATTTTTGTATTTTTTTAGTAGAGTCAGGGTTTTGCCATGCTGCCCAGGCTGGTTTCGAACTCCTGACCTCAAGTGATCCTCCCGCCTCAGCCCCCCAAAGTGCTGGGATTACAGGCATGAGCCACCAGACCCAGCTTTTTTTCTTTTTTAAAACGGGAGTGTTCACTGTGGATGTTCTGTTCCTATTCCGCCATTGTATATGTGGTGTTTAAAGGCAGATTATTTGTCCTTTTGTCGCATAGGTCTCTAGATCAAGTGAAGCCACACCTCCTGAGATAGAAACTACTACATATACCCCTTGCTTGCATCACCTACATATACCTCTACTCTGCATCACCTAGATGTGGTGGTCCTTGAGCATGATGACATTACTGGACAGGACTTTAAGATTGTCTCTGTGGGTGAGGGAATTGTGTATACTTTGCCTGTGATTGGGAAAGTGAGTTCAACATTTGGTAAACAGAAGGGTAGAGTGTAGCAACGGCTTGTGCTGGTCACCAAGTATTCTGGCTCTCTGTTTTACGGACCAAGGTAGCATTGCTCTTCCCCACCACCTTTAAAGTCAGATGTGGCAAAGCGACTTGCTTTGGCCAATGCAATGTGAGTGAAGATGACATGTATCATTTCTTGACAGAAGCTTTAAGTCATTGTGTGATTAGCTGTGCCCCCTTTGCCCTGTGTTGGTAATCATGAAAGCCTGGAAATGGAAACTGACTTGGCCTGGGTCCCACAGAACATCTCAGCCAGTTCATGGTGGTGACATTAGGGTGAACAATAAGTAAGCATTTCTTGTTTTAAGCCATTGATATTTGGGTTGTTGTTTGTTTGTTTGCTTTTATTACTGCAGCATGACCTTGGCCTATACCAACTGATAAAGTATATGTTAAAAAGTTGGAGTTGAAGCAATTAGAAAAGAAAAAGAAATAAAAGATATCCAAATTGGAAAGGAAGTAAAATGATCTCTATTCACAGATGATATGATCTTACATATCAAAATCCCTAAAGAATTCACAAAACACTGTTACAATGAATAAATGATTTCAGCAAAGTTTCAGGATACAAAATCAACACACAAAAATCAGTAGCATTTTATATAGTAATAATCACATGACTGATCTGAAAAAGAAATTAAGGAACCAATCCCATTTGCTATGCATCAAAAAGGATAAAATACTTAGCAGTAAAACTAACCAAAGAGGTGACAGACTTGTACACTGAAAATTATAGAACATTGCTAAAAGAAATTTTTTTAAAAAGATACAAAAATATAGAAAGACATCCCACACTCATGGATTAGAAGACCCCATATCATTAAAATGTCTATACTACCCAAAGCGATCTACAGATTCAATGTAATCCTTATGAAAATCCCAATGGCAGGTGGGGCGTGGTGGCTCACGCCTGTAATCCCAGCACTTTGGGAGGCCAAGGCGGGCAGATCACTAGGTCAGGAGTTCAAGACCAGCCTGACCAACATGGTGACACCCCATCTCTACTAAAAAATACAAAAATTACCCAGGCATGGTGGTGCACTCCTGTAGTCCCAGCTACTTGGGAGGCTGAGGCAGGAGAATTGCTTGAACCTGGGAGATGGAGGTTGCAGTGAGCCAAGATCATGCCACTGCATCCCAGCCTGGGCAACAGGGCAAGACTCCATCTCAGAAAAAGAAAGGAAAAAGAAAAAAACAAAAGAAAATCCCAATGGCACTTTTTGCGGAAATAGAAAAAGCCATCCTAAAATTCATACAAAATCTCAAGGGACCCCATATAGCCAAAAAAAAAAAAATCTTGAAAAAGAAGACTGAAGTTGGAGGTCTCACAATTTCTGATTGCGTACTACAAAGCAGCAGTAATCAAGAAAGCATGGAACTGGCATAAAGACAGATATGTAGACCAATAGAATAGAATAGAGAGCCCAGAAGTAAACCCTTGGATATTTGGCCAAATGATTTTTAACAAGGGTAATGCTGGAGAAAGGTCACTCTCTTTGACAAATTCTGTTGAGAAAGTTGGATGTCCACATGCAAAATAATGAAGTTGGACCTTACACCATATACAAAAATTAACTCAAAATGGATTAAAAACCTAAATATAAGGACTAAAACTATAAAACTCCTAGATTAAGCTGGGCATGGTGGCTCACGCCTGTAATCACAGCACTTTTGGAGGCCAAGGCAAGCAGATCACCTGAGGTCGGGAGTTCGAGACCAGCCTGACCAACATGTTGAAACCCCATCTCTACTAAAAGTACAAAATTAGCTGGGTGTGGTGGCTCGTGCCTGTAATCCCAGCTACTCGGGAGGCTGAGGCAGGAGAATTGCTTGAACCTGGGAGGTGGAGGTTGCAGTGAGCCGAGATTGCACCATTGCACTCCAGCCTGGGCAACAAGAGCAAAACTGTGTCTCAAAAAAAACCCAGAAATTTATTTTTTCACAGTTCTGGAGTGTAAGGAAAGTCCAAGATGAAGGCACTGGCATCTGGTGAGGGCCTTCTTGCTGTGTCCTCACATGGCAAACAAATGACAAGCTAGTCAAAGGCTGCATAAAGCTTCTTTTGTAAGGGCCTTAATCCTGTTAATGAGGGAGGAGCCCTACTGGCCTAATCACCTCTTAAAGATCTCACCTCTTGGCCAGGTGCTGTGGCTCATTCCTGTAATCCCAGTATTTTGGGAGGCCAAAGCGGATGGATCATCTGAGGTCAGGAGTTCAAGACCAGCCTGGCCAACATGTTGAAACCCCATTTCTACTAAAAATACAAAAAAATTAGCTGGGCATGGTAGCGCATGCCTGTAATCCCAGCTACTCACGAGGTTAAGGCTGGAGGATTGCTTAAATCCGGGAGGCAGAGGTTGCAGTGAGCCGAGATGATGCCACTACACTCAAGCCTGAGCAACAACAGTGAAACTCCCTCTCAAAAAAAAAAAAAAACAAATGCCACCTCTTAATACTATTATAGTGACATCATGTAGATTTTGGAGGAGACACATTCAAATCATAGCAGATGGTAAATTTAATATTATCTTTTTTAAAAAAAACACAAAGTAAATATGGATATGTAGATCAAAGCAATGCACAGTGGGAAATGAAAGTTTAATTATCAAAGGAACTGTTGATCAGAACATCATATCCATTTAAGGTTGTTTTATTGGTTTTTGTTTTGTTTTGTTTTGTTTTGTTTTTGTTTTTTTTAGGCAGGGTCTGGCTCTGTCACCCAGACTGGAGTGCAGTGGCATGATCTCAGCTCACTGCAACTTCTGCCTCCTTGGCTCAAGCCATCCTTCCATCTCAGCCTCCCAGGTATCTGGGACACCACATCCAGCTAATTTTTGTATTTACTGTAGAGATGGGGTTTCGCCATGTTGCGTAGGTTGGTCTCAAACTTCTGAGCTCAAGCGATCACCCACCTCAGCCCCCGAAAGTACTGGGATTACAGGCGTGAGCCACCGTGGCTTGCCTAAGCTTTATTTTAAAGGCTGTTTTCAATATTATTTGAAGATTGGGCAGTACATGATGCAATCAAACAAAACACAGGTTTCAGGTATGTATAAATACTTATGCTTTATTTCATATATAATGCTGTGTGTTCCTTGACACACACAGTTCTATGTATTCCAAGTGGTCACTGTAGTTTATCACAGGAAAATGTTAATGCCCTAGAAATTTTCATCTGAGGTATCTAAGCCCATAATAGGTCATCATTAAATAGTCTCTGAATTATTGTTGTGTATTATATATTGTGTGTATTTTGTGTATTATATATTGTGTATTATAAGTTACACCACAAATACTACAATATGTTCGCTCACTCTGGAAATTAAAAAGTGGGAGATACACTTTAATAAGTATAATGGATTGACCCATAGATGACTTTATATTACATAAACTACTTAAGACATATTCTTTGTGCTGCTTTTTCTAAAATAGAATATGTTAATATAAACATATTTGAAATTCAAAAAGCTTGGCCTGTGTCTGTTTTGTTTCTCAGTGCAATTTCTGTTATCAATGTGCTTATAAGTAATAATTTATTAATACTACTAATAAAAAATTAACATGATTGAGAGGAAAAAAATCTGGATTAATTAGCTAAAGAAATAAAGCAACCCAGGAGAGGGAAAAATAAGTTATAAAAAAGAAAGTGGGCCAGGTGCGGTGGCTCACACTGTAATCCCAGCAATTTGGGAGGCTGAGGCAGGTGGATCAACTGAGGTCAGGAGTTCGAGACCAGCCTGGCCAACATGGTGAAACCCCATCTCTACTAAAAATACAAAAATTAGCCGGACATGGTGGTGTGCACCTGTAATCCTAGCTATTCGGGAGGCTGAGGCAGGAGAATCATTTGAACCCAGTAGGTGGAGGTTGCAGTGGGCCAAGATCGCACTACTGCACTCCAGCCTGGGTGACAGAGCAAGACTCCATCTCAGAAAAAAAAAAAAGAAAGAAAGAAACTGGCTGAGACAGGAGGATCATTTGAGCCCCAGGAGTTTGAGATCAGCCTGGGTAACAAAACGAGACCCTGTCTCTACAAAAAATACAAAAATTAGTTGGGAGCAGTAGCATGCACCTGTAGTCTCAGCTACTTGGGAGACTGAGGCAGGAGGATTCCAATTCCTTGATCCCCTGAGTTGAGGATGCAATGAGCTATAATCCTGCCACTGCACTCCTGCCTGGGTGACAGAGTAAGATCCTGTCTCAAATAAATGAGTAAATAAATAAATGGCCAGGCATGGTGGCTCATGCCTGTAATCCCAGCACTTTGCGAGGCCTAGGCGGATCACCCGAGGTCAGGAGTTTGAGACCAGCCTGGCCAACATGGTGAAACCCCGTCTCTACTAAAAATACAAAAAAATTAGCCAGGCGTGGTGGCAGGCGCCTGTAATCCTAGCTACTCAGGAGGCTGAGGCAGGAGAATTGCTTGAACCCAGGAGGCGGAGGTTGCAGTGAGCCGAGATTGTGCCACTGCACTCCAGCCTGGGCGACTGAGTGAAACTCCATCTCAGAAAAAAAATAAAAAATAAAAATAAATAAATGTATCTGTCTGTTCTCACACTGCTATAAAAATCTATAATACCTAAGATTGGGTAATTTATGAAGGAAAGAGGTTTAATTGACTCACAGTTCTGCAGGCTGTACAGGAAGCATGGTGAGGGGAGGCCTCAGGAAACTTACAATCATGGCAGAAGGTGAAGGGGAGGCAAGCACGTCTTACCATGGCAGAGCAGGAGAGAGACAGTGAGCTAATAGGGGAGTGCCACCCACTTTTAAACCAGCAGATCTCATGAGAACTCACTCACTATCATGAGAACATGGGAGAAGTCCGCCTCCATGATCTAATCACCTCCCACCAGGTCCCTCCCCCAATATTGGGAATTACAATTCAACATGAGATTTGGGTGGGGACACAGAGCCAAATTACATCAATCAATCAATAAATAAGAAACTAGCAATCTAAAAGAGAGGAAGAGAAGAGAAAAAGAAGGCCAGGCACTGTGGCTCACGCCTGTAATCCCAGCACTTTGGGAGGCCGAGATGGGTGGATCACGAGGTCAGGAGATCGACACCATCCTGGCTAACATGGTGAAACCCGTCTCTACTAAAAAATACAAAAAAATTAGCCAGGCGTGGTGGCGGGCGCCTGTAGTCCCAGCTACTTGGGAGGCTGAGGCAGGAGAATGGCATGAACCCAGGAGGCGGAGCTTGCAGTGAGCCAAGATAGCGCCACTGCACTCCAGCCTGGGAGACAGAGCAAGACTCTGTCTCAAAAAAAAAAAAAAAAAAAAAGACAGGTGCAACAACTGAAAAAGCACAAAATAAAATTGTTAGATCTTCTCACTTAATCTTTATATATATAAATATATATGTAATATATATTTTATTTTTGAGTTGGAGTCTTGCTCTGTCACCCAGGCTAGAGTGCAGTGGCGTGATCTTGGCTCACTGAAACCTCCACCTCCCAAGTTCAAGCAATTCTTGTGCCTCCACCTCCTGAGTAACTGGGATTACAGGTACATACCACCATGCCTAGCTAAATGTGTATTTTCAGTAGAGACAGGGTTTCACCATGTTGGCCAGGCTGGTCTCAAACTCCTGGCCTCAAGTGATCTGCCCACCTCAGCCTCTCAAGTGCTGAGATTACAGGCATGAGCTACCACACCTGGCCTCAATCTTCTAAATATTTTGACCTCTTTTACATATTTGCCATTTTCTTCTCTTGTGTGCATTCTGGATCTTTCCTGAATTCTATCTTTCAGTTTTCTGATTCTCTCTTCAGCCTTGTCTAATATGCTGCTAAATTGTTAAATTCACTCATTTGGTTTTTTCTTTCAGTTAGATTTTTTACTACTAGAAGTTCTGTTTTGTTCTTTTTCGGATCTGTGTTTTCTTAGCTCATCTTTTCAAGCCTTTTTTTTTTTTTTTTTTTTTTTTGAGATGGAGTCTCGCTCTATTGCCCAGACTGGACTGCAGTGGTGCGATCTCAGCTCACTGCAACCTTCGCCTCCCGGGTTCAAGTGATTCTCCTGCCTCAGGCTCCCGAGTAGCTGTGACTACAGGCATGCACCACCATGCCCAGCTAATTTTTGTATTTTTAATAGAGGTGGGGTTTCACCATGTTGGCCAGGCTGGTTTCCAACTCCTGACCTTAGGTGATGTGCCTGTCTCAGCCTTCCAAAGTGCTGGGATTACAGGCATGAGCCACTGCACCCAGTTCAAATTACTCTAAGTATATATTTATACTCCCATCAACAGTACATGTGAATTTCAATTTTTCCACAACCTCATTAGAACTTGGTATTGTCAGTGTGGTAGATACTGCCAGTTGTCCCAGGATCTACTTTCCCCTTCTTCCTTTAATAACAGATTTAATGAGTTTCACCTGGATTGCAGCTGGGCATGCCCAACCAAATCATAGACAAGATGATGTGGCTGAAAGTAATATGCATCACTTCTGGGTCATGACCTTAGGAAGCATGCTCCTTAGAAGGTATGCTTCCCAAACTCGAGATCTTTTTGATGATGTTCTTTTTGCATTTGGTCTATACTTCCAAATTCCTTTTTATGTCCCTGTATTTGAACACATTTGCCTGACAATGAAGGCCCCTTCCCCAGGGTAGTGAATATTTATTGTTTTTGCTTGCCCACATCCACTCCTTCTTCCTAATAGTACCTAAATTATTTTTCTTGAAATGTTACATTTTCCTCAATATAGTAGTAGAATTTAGATCAGAGTGCCCAGCCCTTTCCCTATAGAAGCTGAAGGGGAGCACTGAAGGCTCCTTCTTTCAGAACCCTTCTCTCACTATCATCCCATATATCTAAGAAGGCATTCAGTGGCTTAGGGAGAAAAAAAAAAGAGTTGAACCTTGTTTCTTCCAGCATCCAGAGCCTTGACGGTGGAAGGGAAGAAGCACAGCATGAATATTGCCAAGGTTATATATGACCAGGTTACTCTGAGTCTGGACACAACCCATCGAGAATCCTGGTGAAATGCCTGCCTAAGGGTAGACCCCATAGCAGTTAATCTGCATCTAGATCCTGTTGTTTCCAATTGCATAAGCTACAAGAGCTAGCAGAGGTTTTATTCCAGAGAATGGTATGTAAACCACCAGCCAGTCAGAATATGTCCTCAAACCACTAGCTAATAAAATGTCACGTCCTCTTAGAGGCCTCATTCAAATCACTCTAGTAACCCTAAGAATGAAATGTAACAAGTAAGAAATGCAGCTAGGTTATAAACCTAGTCTGAAGGAGACTAATGGTAGTTGACTTTGACAGAACTGACAATTGGCAGCTGACTTCTCTGGGGTCTCCCACACAAAACCTTCTGTGTATTTGTGCTTCAACTCATCTTTTAGACCATTCTGAATCAGAGCACTTTATATTTTTATTGTTCTTTACTTTTCATGTTCTGGATTGGTGAAATTAATCTCTGAAAAATGGGCTGGGTTGGTCTTTATAATGTGAAGTCAATGTTACTAAGCTGTCATGAGGAGAGCATTATACCAACAATGAGGCTTCCTTTAAAGAATTTTTTGGACTGGATGTGGTCATTCACACCTGTAATCCCAGCAATTTGGGAGGCCAAGGCAGGAGGATTCCTTGGAGCCAAGAGTTTGAGACCAGCCTGCGCAAATAGTGAGACCCTATGTCCACCAAAAAGTAAAAAGTTAAAAAATTAGCCAAGAATAGTGGCGCATGCCTGTAGTTCCAGCTACTCTGGAGGCTAAGGCTGTGGGATCACTTGAGCCCAGGAGGTCAAGGCTGCAGTGGCTGTCATGGCGCCACTGTACTCCAGCCTGGGCAACAGAGTGAGCTCCTGTCTCTAAAAAAAATTTAAAAAGGAGGTTGGGTGCAGTGACTCATGCTTATAATCTCAGCACTTTGGGAGACTGATCACCTGACCTCAGGAGTTCGTGACCAGCCTGGGTAACATGGTGAAACCCCGTCTCTACTATAAATGCAAAAATTGGCCGGATGCAGTGGCTCAAGCCTGTAATCCCAGCACTTTGGGAGGCCGAGGTGGGTGGATCACCTGAGGTCAGGAGTTCGAGACCAGCCCAGCCAACACTGTGAAACCCTGTCTGTACTAAAACTACAAAAATTAGCCAGGCGTGATGGTGCATGCCTGTAATCCCAGCTACTCGGGAGGCTGAGGCAGGAGAATCGCTTGAACCCGCGAGGTGGAGGTTGCAGTGAGCTGAGATTGTGCCACTGCACTCCAACTTGGGCAACAGAGTGGGACTCTTAAAACAAAACAAAAAGCAAAAATTAGCCACGCAAGGTGGCTCATGCTTGTAATCCCAGCTACTCGGGAGGCTGAGGCAAGAGAATTGCTTGAACCCGGGAGGCGGAGGTTGCAGTGAGCTGAGATTGTGCCACTGGACTCCACCCTGGGCGACAGAGCAAGACATCTCAAAAAAAAATAATAATAATTAATTAATTTTTTAAAAATTGCCTGGCACAGTGGCTCACACCTGTAATCCCAGCACCTTGGGAGGCCAAGGCCGGTGGATCACTTGAGGTCAGGAGTTTGAGACCAGCCTTGCCAACATGGTGAAACCCCATCTCTACTAAAAATACAAAAATTAGCTGGGCCTGGTGGTGCACACCTGTAATCCTAGCTACTCAGGAGGCTGAGGCAGGAGAATCGCTTGAACCCAGGAGGCAGAGGCTGCAGTGAGCCGAGATTGCGCCACTGCACTCCAGCCTGGGCAACAGAACGAGACTCCGTCTCAAACAAAAAAAAAACTTAAAAAAAGAACAAATTTTTTGGAGACGGGGATTCTGCATAACAAAAATGACTGCTGGGCGCGGTGGCTCACGCCTGTAATCCCAGCACTTTGGGAGGCCGAGGCGGGTGGATCACCTGAGGTAGGGAGTTCAAGACCAGCCTGACCAACATGGAGAAACCCCGTCTCTACTAAAAATACAAAATTAGCCGGGGTGGTGGCGCATGCCTGTAATCCTAGCAACTCGGGAGGCTGAGGCAGGAGAATCGCTTGAACTCGGGAGGTGGAGGTTGCGGTGAGCCGAGATCGCGCCATTGCACTCCAGCCTGGGCAAAAAGGGCAAAACTCCATCTCCAAAAAAAAAACAAAAAACAAAAATGACTATGATCTTTGAAAAATAATTGTGCAGGCTAGAAACTTTGAGTGGCTGAAGTATATGTTAGTTCCCCGAGAGTAAGATTCTAGGGGATAGGATCCCCATGGCATCTAGAACAATGCCTAACTTTATCTTGAAACAATGAGGGGAATGTGAAAGGGCCTGTTTAAACAGTGGTGCTGTCTCCCAACTAGGTGCTGAAAGACCCTTTGTGTTGAGGGCAGGGATCTGGTTAGAGGACCTGAGAGCCTTAAGCTATCAGGCCAAGTGGGAAAGGAAAAGGCCAAGAGAAGAGTTTCCACCCACCTCCACCTAATCTTACCTTTCTCTGTCTTCCACTACCATCACTTTTTTTTCTTTTTCCCACCTTTTTTTTTTCAAAACTTTTTTCTTTTTTTCTTGATACAGGGTCTCACTCTGTTGCCCAGGTTGGAGTGCAGTGGTGTAATCTCAGCTCACTGCAACCTCTGCCTCCTGGGCTCAAGCCATCCTCCCACCTCAGCCTCTGGAATAGCTGGAACTATAGGCATGCACCACTATGCCTGGCTAATTTTTGTATTTTTTGTAGAGATGGGGTTTTGCCATGTTGCCCAGGCTGGTCTTGAACTTGTGAGCTCAAGCAATTGGCCCATCTCGGCCTTCCAAAGTGCTGGGATAACAGGTGTGAGCCACTGCACCCAGCTTAAAATGTTTTTTAAAATTGTGACATACAGCACACAGACAGGAAAGCACAAGGGATAAATGTACAGCTCCATACGTTTTAACAAAGAAAATATTTGTGAAATTACCACTTAGTTCAAGAAATTGGCTGGGCGCAGTGGCTCATGCCTGTAATTCCAACACTTTGGGAGGCCAAGGTGGGTGGATCATCTGAGGTCAGGAGTTCAAGACCAGCCTGGCCAACATGGTGAAACCCCATGTCTGCTAAAAATAAAAAAATTAGCTGGACATGGTAGTGGGCACCTGTAATCCCAGCTACTCAGGAGGTTGAGGCAGGAGAATCACTTGAACCTGGGAGGTGGAGGTTGCAGTGAGCCGAGAATGTGCCACTGTACTCCAGCCTGGGTGACAGTGCTAGACTGCATCTCAAAAAAAAAAAAAAAAAAAGAAAGAAATAGAACATTGTCAGCACCCTAGAAACCCACTCATGTCTCTCGCCACCAGGCCTACTCTTTCCCTTCTTCCCAAAGGCAACTACTACCCTCACTTCTAACATTTTAATTTGTTTGCTTATTTTTGAAATATATGTAAAGTTAATTGTACAATAAATATTCTTCTGAACTACTATTGTTCAACATTTTCATGAAGGTACATTTATTAAATTATAGCATATGGGAAAATGCACAAATCATAAGTGGTACAGCTTGATGAATTTTTCACAAACTGAATGTATCTATGTAACTAGCATGCAGATCAAGAAATGGAGCATTATCAGAAGTCCCCTTTGTGCCTCCTTCTAGTCACTATCCCTCTCTCCCAAGAGTAGCTACTATCCTGAGTTCTAACAGTATAAATCAGTTTTATTATTTTACCTTATATACATGAAAATATACAGTATATACTCTTTTCTTCGTAGCTTTTCTTGCTCAATATTGTTTGTGAGGTTCATCTGCATTGTTGCACATAGTTGTAGATCACTCATTCTCATTGCTGTTTTGTATTCCATTGTATAAATGTACCACAATTTGACGATTCATTCTAGTGTAGGTGGATATTTGGGTTGTTTTTTCCATTTTCAGCTATTACAAATACTGCCAGTATGGGCAGACATGGTGCCTTACACCTGTAACCCAGCACATTGGGAGGCCTAGGCAGGCAGATCGTCTGAGCTCAGAAGTTTGAGACCAGCCCGAGCAACATGCTGAAACTCTGCCTCCACAAAAAATACAAAAATTAGCTGTGCATGGTGCCGTGCACAGTAAGTAGTAGTCCCGGCTACTTGGGAGGATGAGGCGAGAGGGTCACTTGTGCCAGGGAGGTTGAGGCCACAGTGAGCTGTGATGGTGCTACTATTTGTTTGTATATAAATAGTATATTTGTGGCCGGATGCAGTGGCTCACGCCTGTAATCCCAGCACTGAGGAAGGCTGAGGTAGGCAGATCACGAGGTCAAGAGATGGAGACCATCCTGACCAACATGGTGAAACCCTGTCTCTGCTAAAAATACAAAAATTAGCCAGCCGTGGTGGCGTGTTCCCGTAATCCCAGCTACTCGGGAGGCTGAGGCAGAATTGCTTGAACTCAGGAGGTGGAGGTTGTAGTGAGCCGAGATCATGCCACTGCTCTCCAGCCTGGTGACAGAGGGAGACTCTGTCTCAAATAAATAAATAAATAAATAAATAAATAAATAAATAAATAAAAATAAATAAATAAATAGTATATTTGTACACTGTTAGAACTCAGGATAGTAGTGGGAGAAGATAGTGACTAGAAGGGGCACAAAGGGGACTTCTGGCAATGCTTCCTTTCTTGATCTGGGTGCTAGTTAAATAGATGCATTCAGTTTGTGAAAAATTCATCAAGCTGTACCACTTATGATTTGTGCACTTTTTTTTTCTTGAGACGGAGTTTCACTCACACTATCGCCCAGGCTGGAGAGCAGTGGCACGATCTCAGCTTACAGCTCACTGCAACCTCTGCCACTTGGGTTCAAGTGATTCTTTTGCGTCAGCCTCCCCAGTAGCTGGGATTACAAGTGTGTGCCACCACGCCTGGCTAATTTTTCTATTTTTAGTAGAGACAGGGTTTCACCATTTTGACCAGGCTGGTTTCAAACTGCTGACCTCAAGTGATCCACCCACCTTGGCTTCCCAAAGTGCTGGGATTACAGGCATAAGCCACCGTGCCCAGCCTGTGCACTTTTTTATATGCTATGATTTAATAAATGTTTCTTCATGAAAATGTTGAACAATGTGATCACTCCAGCCTGGGTGACACGGCGAGATTCTGCCTCAAAAACAAAAACAAACAAATACTGCCAGTATAAACATTCTTAGTTATGTCTCCCGGTGAACATATCTATGCATTTCTTTTTTTTTTTTTTTTTTGAGACGGAGTCTTGCTCTGTCGCCAGGCTGGAGTGCAGTGGTGCGGTCTTGGCTCACTGCAACCTCCACCTCCTGGGTTCAAGCGATTCTCCTGCCTCAGCCTCCCAAGCAGCTGAGATTACAGGCATGCACCACCATGCTCGGCTAATTTTTGTATTTTTAGTAGAGATGGGGTTTCACCATGTTGGCCAGGCTGGTCTTGAACTCCTGACCTGGTGATCTGCCCGCCTCGGCCTCCCAAAGTGCTGGGATTACAGGCGTGAGCCACTGCACCCGGACCACACCTATGCATTTCTGTTGGTTATATGCCTTAGAGTAAGATTCCTGGGTCATGGTCTGTTCAGATTTGGTAGATACTACCAGACAGTATTTCAGAGTAGTCATCCCAATTTACATTCCCACCAGCAGTGTATGAGAATTTCATTTGTTTCACAGCCTTGCCAACCTTCAATATTACATCTCTTATTTTAGCCATGTTGATGAGTTGTACATATACTGGTATCTCATTTTGGCTTTAGTTCACATAACCCTGGTTTCTATTGAGGTTGAATTCCTTTCACATGTATTGATAATTTAACTTTTATTTTATGTGAAATACCTTCACATCTCATTTTTCTCCTGTAAGTTGTCATTTTCAAATTGATTTGTGGGATTTCTCTACATTGTCTAAATGAATCCTTTGCAGGTTAAATGCGTCACAAATATTTCCTTGTACTCTGTAGTTTCTCAGTTTCTTTATGAAAGGTATCTATGTATAGATTATATATGTACATGTTTATTTGTATATTGGCTTTATGCCCAGCAATCTTTTGATTCCCATAATTTACCTGTAGATTATTTTGGATTTTGAATGTACACAATATAAGTAAACAATGACAATTTTGTTTCTTCCTCTCCAATACTTATTTCCTTCCTTCCTTCCTTTCTTCCCTCCCTCCTTCCTCTCTCCCTTCCTCCCTCCCTCCTTCCCTTTTCCTTTCTTTTTATACCCATTGCATTAGTAGGGCCTGCATTACAATGCTGATAAGATATTGTATTAGTTTCCTAAGGCTGCTGTAACAAAGCACCACAAACTGGGTGCCTTAAAACAACAGAAATGTATTCTTCACAGTTCTAGGGACTAGAAGTCTGAAATCATGGTATTGGCAGGGTCATGCTCCCTTTGAAACCTGTAGGGGAATTCTTTCCAGCTTCTTCTTAGCTTCTGGCGGTTTGCGGCCAATCTTGGGTTTTCCTTGTCTTGTAGCAGCATAATCCCAGAATCCCAGTCTCTGCCTTCATCATCACATAGTGTTCTCCCTCTGCCTCTGTGTCTTCACATGACCATCTTATTTTAAGGACACCAGATACATTGGATTTGGGGCCCACTCTAACATGACCTGATCTTAACTAATTACATCTATAACTACCTGATTTCCAAATGAGGTCACATTCTGTAGTACTGGGTGTTAGAACTTCAACATATTCAACTCATAACAGATGTGATGATAGTGGACGTCTGTACTTGATCTTAGTGGCAAAACTTTCAACTTTTCACCATTATGTGTGATGTCAGCCGGGTATGGTGGCTCACACCTGTAATCCTAGCACTTTGGGAGGCCGAAGCGGGTGGATAACTTGAGCCCAGGAGTTCAAGACAAGCCTGGCCAACATGGTGAAACCCCATGTGTATATATATATATATATTTTTTTTTCTTTGTTTTTGAGACAGAGTCTTGCTCTGTTGACCAGGCTGCAGTGCAGTGGCATGATCTCAGCTCACTGCAACCTCCGCCCCCCGGGTTCAAGCAATTCTCCTGCCTCAGCCTCCTGAGTAGCTGGGATTACAGGCATGTGCCACCACACCCAGCTAATTTTTGTATTTTTAGTGGAGATGGGGTTTCATCATGTCGGTCAGGCTGCTCTTGAACTCCTGACCTCAAGTGATCCGCCTGCCTTGGCCTCCCAAGGCTGGGGTTACAGGTGTGAGCCACCATGCCCGGCCTAAATTTATACATTTTTCAAAAGAAAATGTCAGCCCAAAATATTAAAAACACAACTAACTAGGGTTTCTGGGTTGGGTTCCTGATCTGGGTGCCGATTTCACAAGTGTGATTGGCTTGTGAAAATTTACTATGCTGTCTACTTAAGACATGTGTTAAATAAAATTTATAGCAAGTTGGGCATTAGGCCCAACAGAACAAACCAAAATGGAGTTTATTGATGTTGCCATGCCAAAATTAAAATCTTTATCTGACCATTCAATAAACCAGGAGAGAGAGAAATAATAGCCAAGTCTGCAAACAGTCCATTTTTAGCCAGCATGATAAAGAAGTCCTCTCTGCTTTAACCTTATAAGAAAAGAAACTTTGAAACAAACAATCCACTTTTAGTTTTCTGTTTCTCTCTTTTTTTTCTTTTTTGAGATGGAGTCTCGCTCTGTCACCCAGGCTGGAGTGCAGTGGCACGATCTCAGCTCACTCCAACCTCTGCCTCCTGGGTTCAAGTGATTCTCCTGCCTCAGCCTCCTGAGTAGCTGAGATTACAGGTGAGCACCACCACGCCTGGATACTTTTTGTATTTTTAGTAGGCATGGGGTTTCACCATGTTGACCAGGCTGGTCTTGATCTCCTGACCTGGTGATCTGCCTGCCTCAGCCTCCCAAAAGTGTTGGGATTACAGGAGTGAGCCCCCGCGCCCTGCCTCTGCGTTTCTTTTCTGTCTATGAAATTATCCCGATTGTTCTGCTCATTGGAACACTGTTTCTGCTTTATAGAATGAGACGTTGCCCAATTCTAGAATAGCAGGTAAAAGTTAATTAAGATCTTTAAACTAAATTTGTTGTAATTTTGTCTTTTGACATGTAATTTTCTGTATATTCGTTATACTTCAATAAAAAGTTAAAAGAAACATAACTAAATTTCTATTTGAAAACAGAAGCTCTTCCTTTTGAAGGATGCCTTGCTGCTCCACTTTCCATTCACATTCACCTCCTGAGAGAGGTGAAGATCTGGGTTGCTAAGATGGAAGAAAGGTCAATTATTTGCATGTTACTCAAGTGATGCACTGACACAATATTCTCACAGTTCTCCCTCCCCCCGCCCCCCCCCACACACCCAAAAGAATTCAGTGTATTAGCTTTGCTTTTTAGTGATTCACTCAAGCTAAAGTAAGAGTTTATGTCTGGTATTACGTTGAGAGCTTTTGGAAGATTATCTTCCAGGTTGTCTTTAGACCATCTTTGTATCTGGTTTTTGCTCTCTTTGCTTTTGCTCTGAGATTCTGCAACACCGATTTATATGTGTTGAGACAGTCTAAAAAATTCCATTTCTCCCCTTCTACAATTCCTGCAGATGTTACTCACTATATGTCTGCAGGAATTGGTGTAATCTTACACTCTGCCTTGAAAACACCTTTCCATTCTTCACAGCTTTGTTCCCAGTTGAATTTCTGGGGAGAATTGAGTTAGGTCTATTCATTTAATTTGGGAGAAACTGACATCTTTACAATTTTTCCTCTTTTCACCCAGGATCATGGTAAGCCTCTCCATTATTTGAAGTCTAATTTCATCCTACTTGGATATGCTTCTTTATGACTCTGTAGCTTTCTACATATAAGTCCTACATCTTTCTTGTTAGAGTTTTTCCTAGTTGCTTTATGTTTTTTTGTTGTTGTTGCGATTGTTGCTATTGTGAATGGAACCTTTTTTTTTTTTCATTCAAAAATGAACCCGTGGAGCGATAGGATCTCTACCACCTCTTTCGGCTGTGAGACTCTATGGTTTTTCAGTTCTATGAGAACATTCTACTGGAGCCTACATTATCTGAACCCAAAGGAAGATGGCAACCACGAG